>NW_019805495.1:0-305244 GCF_000001405.40 Homo sapiens | reverse complement strand
GAATTCACATTAAAACATATATATGTGTACTGCATGTACTAATATTGGTACACTTAATTAAGTAAAAAAGGATAATTATTGAATACTGTAAATGTTGTGCTTTCATAACCTGAAGCTTTTAGACAGGATTTAAAGTTACTGAGGCAATGACGAGTTAAAAATGGTGATACTAAAGAAATAAGAATGCTCTCCAAAATATCCTAGCTTAGAAATCAAAACACAATTGTTTAGCAGATAACTGCATAAGGAATAACTTGATACTTGATACCAGTTGTCATTTTAATTGAGGCTTACCTCACGTGAAACTATGAACAATTCCTTGAAATGGCTTAGATGACTTCTGAAAAATATTTGCAATTCTTAAATTTTCACTGTTGGCACTTAAATTCAGCAGTGTTTAGTAAAAAAGAGTAAGGTAAAGGACTTCAAACTGCCAAGGCAAAGATTACAGTTTGTATTGGTCAGGGTTCTCCAGAGAGACAGAACCATAGGATGTGTACATAACTATATATATGTATATATACCCAAAATACTTACAATTGTGGTACAATTGCCGATCGTATACCATACAGGTTTGTAGCCTAGGAACAATATGCTATACTGTATACCATAGGTGTGTAGTAGGCTATACCATCGAGGTTTGTGTAAGTATACCCTATGATGTTCAAACAATAATGAGACTGTCTAATGTGTCCCTCAGATCATATATCTGTTCTCACTCTACACATGACACTTTACAGGAGAGGAAGTCCACTAGGGAAATTTGTTCCCTTGATTATGGAGTCTGAGAAGTTGAACATAGGCTGTCATTAAGGTAGTGTCCTGGAGATACCAATATCCTGGCTGAGTTAGAATCAGCTTCAGGAGAAAGAGAGGAAACTGCCTTCTCTCTGCCCTTTAGATTCAGTCTGAGCTACCAGCTGATTGGATAGTGTCCACCCACATTGAGGGCTGCTGTTCCCCACTCAGCTCACCAACTTACATGTCTCTCTGGAAACACCTTCACAGACTCACCCAGAAATAATGCTTTACCAGTTCTCCATGTATTATTTAATCCAGTCAAGTCAACACCTAAAATTAACCATAATACCATTGTAATATAATTACATTTCAGTTTTTAGAAAACTGACTATATGTCAGTTCATAGATTGAGTAGCCCAAAGAAGAAGTTAATTTAAGCCGTAAGAAAAATAAACCCAATATTTTTCATTATTTATTTTATCTCCTAGTGATCCCAGCTTGGTTTAATTGCTGCCTTTTTGTTTATCTGGTCGGTTGGTTTGTTCTGGGGTTGTTTTTGTTTTAAAGAGCCGGCTTCTGGGTCCCTCTCTCTAAAAATATGTCACAGCGCCCTCTGACCGTCTTCCCATGTTTTGTTACCCAACGTAGGTTTTCTACTCCTCTCCCATAGTCATTCAGTAGTTATTTGAAAGAGAAATAGGGACAAGCATGTTTTATTCTAGACCACTTAAGATTAAAACCCGACTTTCATATCGACATCCAGGGAATAGGTTTTTGAAAAGATTTGCATTATGTTATGGGCAGGAATTAGGAGTAGAAGAGGTTGTGTGTCATCTAGTCAGTAGTGTCTGCTAAAAAGCCTAAAGACTCTCTTTGTGTATGAATTTTTCATTTTTGTTACAGAGGAAATAGTTTGTTCTGCTTTAATGAGCACTGTCAAGAAGAAAATATAGCTATCACATATCACCACATGTTCACAGATTTTCACCAAGCCAGACCCCAAAATGACATGCTGCTCTTTCTTCTTCAGAAACATGAATTCTGGAATCTCGCAAGTATTCCAGAGGGCACTCACCTGTCCCATCTACATGAACTACTTCCTAGACCCAGTCACCATAGACTGTGGGCACAGCTTTTGCCGGTCCTGTTTGTACCTCAACTGGCAAGACATGGCAGTTCCTGCCCAGTGCTCTAAATGCAAGAAGACAACACGGCAGAGAAACCTCAACACTGACATTTGTTTGAAGAACATGGCTTCCATTGCCAGAAAAGCCAGCCTCCGGCAATTCCTTAGCTCTGAGGAGCAAATATGTGGGATGCACAGACACAAAAAGAAGGTGTTCTGTGAAGTGGACAAGAGCCTGCTCTGTTTTCTGTGCTCCAACTCTCAGGAGCACCGAGATCACAGACACTGTCCCATTGAGTTGGCTGCTGAGGAATACCGGGTAAGCGATGCCTCTGAAGATCTATTTCTATACAGGACACATGAAATTCTTGTAAGTCTCTTTCCTTGGAGATTGGATGATGCCATCTCTGTGTCCCTTTAAGCATGTCCGTTATGAGCTTCCTTGACTTCACACCTCTCAGATTTGACAAACATGAGGAGAAACAAAGCAAACTCTCTTTTCTGTGGGCTAATTTGTCTCTCATTTTGGGTCCTTCGTATATCAGAGTGTGAATGATACTTTATTGTCCTCACTTGTGCTTCAGTTCATGGCTGTTTTGCAGGAGGAGCTCCTAAAAAAAAATGCAGTGCTTATGGGAAAAAGCTTGTGAAAATCTCAGAAACCAGAACATGGAAACCACCAGAACCAGATGCTGGAAGTTTAGTACCGTATTACTCCACCTTTTCTGGGAACTTATAGCGAACAAATGGGTGACTCTTAAAATAGAAACTTGATCTCAACCCACAATGTTTCTGGAATTCAATAAACAAGGAAAAAACACTTGAGAAAAACACACCCTAATTTTTTATATAAGTTAGTGTGACTCTTTGGTAGGATTTCTAATCAGACCACAGATGTTACCCAAGCATGCTCATCTGTTTCCATACAAACCTATAGCAATACCCCCAACAAATACAAGAAACTGAGCCATTTCACATGCTTCCCAATGGGCTGCCTGGATAAATTCTGGACACAAGAGTTATTTGTCAGTCATGGAAATTTCAGGTGACCCTTCTAAGGCTGAGTCAGTATGAATTTGAATCCTGGTGGGCAAGCATATTGAAATGTGAGCTAAATTTTAGGCAGAAGGAGCAAGAGTGCAACCTTAGGGAAAGCATGAAATTAAATATCAGCACTAATTAAAATTGAATAAGTCATAACACATAATGGGAAAAGTGGCAAGAAATGTAGACTTGTGTCTTGATGAAGACAGAAATATCTGAGAAATATGGGAACTAGTATTTAATATAAGGAGAACTCTAAGGACTTGAGAAGAATTCTAGAAATGATTTTCTCTTTGTGGATGTTTATATTGAGGGTATGATATCTAATATTAATTCATTAATTTACTCTAATATTAATTCATTGAAAGATATTTTATGAGTACCTAGTCTATGTCAAATATCAACTTAGAAAGTTAAGGAGTAAAGAAGAAAGAAAACACACAAATCTTGCAATGGAAATGAGAAAAGCAAATGGTCACCATGCAGATATGTGAAGTACATGATGTGTTAGAGTGTAGTAGTGTCTTTGGAGAATAATCAAGCAGGAAAGTAGAAAAGGAGCACAGAGGCCAGGGACTGGGGATGAGGGTTTGAGTTTTAAATAGGGTGGTTAGAAAAAAGGCTCATGGAAAAATTCACACTGAAACAAAATCTTGATCAGGAGGAAATATATATATCCTCCTGTTTGCCTTTCTCTTCCTCATAAATATATGAATATATATGTGTACCTGGGTGTTGGTATATATACATATATATGGATATATTTGAGGAATATATATATACACACACAGATACACGTATATATTCCTCATATATCCATATATACCTATATTTGAGAAATATATATATGAGTACATATATGAGAAACATGTATTTATATATATATGAAAATAATTCTAGGCATAGAAAACAGCATGTGCAGTAATATTTAATTTGCATTTATTTGGGGGTTTGAGGAACCACCAAGAAGCCCATGTTGCCGATTAGGGTGAGTTTGGAAGAGGATAAATGAAACCTTATTAGAATATGTGATGCTGGGTGAAATGCATTGAGTTGACAATGCTAGTCTGGGTCATGTCATCATTTGTCATATAATGGTTTTACATAACTTGCCCCAATTCTCCAAAATAGAAATAATGGTTTCTTACCTAGTCAATATAACTAATAGTTTGATTCTTAAGCAAGAACTGTGTTTTCTTTCTATAAATGTGGTGTGGAAGAGAGAAATCCATTTTTATATAACTATCTTAGAAAACATTTTATCATTAATCAAGTAAATGTAACTGGGCAGAAACAACTATGTGATATTAGTACAGAAAAAAAGGAAAGGAATAAAATTTTGTGGAATCTGAGAATTGACAAGATTGAGGATTAAAATATTGGGTGTTCAGAATGCTAAGAGGAATCAGTGAAATTCAAGAGAAGGTGGATAAAACATTTCTATTTTGACTAATTGTCACTGCAGGATTATGTGAGTTTAAGGATAGAAGCAATCAGAGCTGAATATCAGAAGATGCTTGCATTTCTCCGTGAAGAAGAGCAACATCACTTGGAGAGGCTGCGAAAGGAGGGCGAGGATATTTTTCAGCAACTCAATGAAAGCAAAGCCAGAATGGAACATTCCAGGGAGCTTTTAAGAGGAATGTATGAGGATCTGAAGCAAATGTGCCATAAAGCAGATGTGGAGCTACTCCAGGTACGGACTGACCGTGGGGTATCATGATGTTGAAGATTCACGTGCATGGATGTTTTTCCTCTCTCCTGAAATCCGTCTCCCCCTTTACTTCCATGATTTGTTTCCAAAAACACGATTCGATAGCTAATAGCTACTTGGTTGGGAGGGTATAGCCTCTCCTAGTAATTCTACCAGACCGAACGTCCCTCTTACTTTATCCACCAGCAACAACACTTTGCGGAATGGCCAAGGTAACAGACAGCCCCAAGAAATATTTCCCATCAAAAGTCAGTGATTTATTTAGGATTTTTGAACGTGGATAAAATGAGAAGTGATTCATTGGCATTTAGGCTAATTTGGAGACATGGCATGATGGAGAAGTTGGGGAATCTAGGATCACACTAATATTATTTTGTGGTCCACTCATTTTGGTAACAGGGCTTAGGGTAGATGACTGAGTAGCTTCTTTATGGTTACAGCAGAGCATGGACTCTGTGGGCCTCCTCTCCCTTCACTTGTAAAGAGAATGTCTGCAAGACTTAGACTTTATCAGGACATTAATTCGTGACATATGATAGACTGGGATTTTCATGAGAAAAGAAACAGAAAATGCTTTCCAGGAGGGAACATTGTAGGAAAATAATATCTTCAGAAACTGTCTCCGTATCTCACAATGAACTTAGTTGAAGGTGCGTCTTATGGAAAGCACTAAGCCTATTTTTTTTTTTTTACAGTCTTTTGGAAACATATTACAAAGGTGAGTGCATACCAAGATTTTTGCAGATGCTTTTAGTTTCCACAAATATCAAGCAGGAACTTTGATATTGAAGGTAAAATTGATTCAGATATTGATACTACCTTGTGCTGGTTGTACTTTCTCCATCCCCCACCCCATGTAGTCATCTATTTTGTTGCCATACTCAGTGATTTTATTAAGCAGCTCAATGAAAGTTGTGCAAAACCAAAAATAAATAAATAAATAAATAAGAAAGAGAAAAAAAATAAATCAATGAAAGAAAATAAAGGAAGTGAGCATCTCTATTCCTAGTTTCCTTTTTATTGCTCAAAAGCCTTCATATTTGAAAGAGAAAATATCACATTTACTACATGGCTACAAAGTCAACCAGGGGAAGCCAGAGAGAAAAGGGGAAAGTATTTTAGCAGCAAAAATTGTTGATGATTTCTAGTTTATATTTCAATATATAATTCTGAAAAATAGATGAAACAAACTATTCGGAATGTTTGAATCATGTGGGCCTCCAGAGAACCTCAATTATAAAAGGCAGATCTCCCTGCCTGGAGCACGTTTCAACACCCTGGCCTTGAGAAGGAAGCAACAGATGCAGCAGTCTTAAAAATAACCCCACTTTTCCAGACAGTGATTTCAGGAATTTCTGGTGAGGTCTGGAACCCAGAATTTCATTTTTGAATATTCTCCCAGTCTTAAGACTAATGATCCTTACTAATTTGGAGCAATACAAAGAAAGATCCGAATGAATTCTCAGTCAGAGAGACTTTACCATCGTGCTTGAAAATCAGGAACTGTGAATAAGAATGAATTTGAAAAAGAAAATGATAATTTTGGAATTAGCAAATGTGTGGGTTAAAGGGCTTCTCATGAAATGTCTTTTAAATGAAAATGGTGATTTTTATGTATTTTTTTTGGCTGTAGATGTGGTAGCTGTATCTTTCTCCTTGCAGGTATGAGTCCCTGCTGCTGCAAGTGTCTGAGCCTGTGAATCCAGAGCTCAGTGCAGGGCCCATCACTGGACTTCTGGACAGGCTCAGTGGATTCAGAGGTAAGTGTCAGCCCGTCGGCAGAATTCCCACAGTGTATTACTTCTTGTTAGAATCATGGGGGTAATATTTTACCCTTCATCAAATCTTTATTTCATTTCAGCAGGAAGTGAACCATATGATGATGCAATCCTTTTATATCTGTTTCTTTTTATAGTCCAATTTATAACCTGAAGAGTAAAACATAGTGAAAAACAAATATGTTCTGGGCTCACATGGATAGACTTATATTGGGTAAATGGAATGACATAAGAAATAAAAAATTGAATAAATGGAACAATGCTCAGAAGGAAGCATAATAATCCAAGGCTACATAAAAATTTTACATTTCTTTACTGTATTTCCTTTGAATTGTTAAACACATTTCATTGGGGGATAGAGTTCACTGCAGTTTGTTGGAGTATTTGTACTTTCTTACAATAAATATATATTATTGATGTAATGTAAAATTTTGACTTAACAGGTAAAAAGAAAGAAGAAATTATTATGTAAATAGGAAGTAAAAATGGAAATTTCAGTTTAGTTACAACACGAAGAGCTACGTGTGAAATGTAAAATTCGGTACCGGTCTAGAGCTAGCAGTGATGTCCGCAAAGTGACTGGTAAAAGATTTTGCATAAATCGGCCTTAAGTTATCACTTGTAATTTGAACATATGGACTTTTATCCAGTTATCTAGAGTGGTGCTTGAGTAAGCTAAAATCTTCCCCTTTTGCCAAAATTATATCCCTAGTATTTAAGAACAAGAAATATTTTAATAATAATGACCTTGATAGCTAAAGGGCATTCAGGGCATAAAGTATTTCACTGTTACATTGGAGATTGGATTAAAGCAGGCTGGTCTTATATTCCACTCTCAATTTTTAAGTTTTCAATGTCTGTTTTTAGGGTTTTGTTCTTCCTATAGAGAATAATAAGCATCCTTATACTTTATTAAATGTTGTAGCCACAATTCTCCTGTCCTTGTAACTTCCAATTTCTTGGTAAAGTAAACTCTTGGTAGAACAACTTTTCCCTCAAGAATTCTAATTTCTATTAATTACATGTATCTATATTTTTAAAAAATTATTTTTGCAGTTGATTTTACTCTGCGGCTTGAAAGAGCTAATAGTCATATCTTCCTGTATGGAGATTTGAGAAGCATGAATGTTGGATGTGACCCTCAAGATGATCCCGATATCACTGCAAAATCTGAATGTTTTCTTGTATGGGGGACTCAGGCTTTCACATCTGGCAAATATTATTGGGAGGTGCACGTGGGGGATTCTTGGAATTGGGCTTTTGGTGTCTGTAACAATTATTGGAAAGAGAAGAGACAGAATGACAAGATAGATGGAGAGGAGGGACTCTTTCTTCTTGGATGTGTTAAGGAGGACACTCACTGCAGTCTCTTTACCACCACCCCACTTGTGGTGCAATATGTTCCAAAACCTACCAGCACAGTAGGATTATTCCTGGATTGTGAAGGTAGAATCATGAGCTTTGTTGATGTTGATCAAAGTTTCCTGATATACATCATCCCTAATTGCTCCTTCTCACCTCCTCTCAGGCCTATCTTTTGCTGTAGTCACTTCTGACCAGAGAAAAGTCAGAAATGGGTCTATATGCTCTGGGAACCTGTTTAGCTAAGAAAGCCTTTTTTTCGCACCTCATCAAACAGGATAAATAAGTTATATTTAATGTCTTTAGTTGCATTCTAATGTCATCAAAACTCATTTATAGTGTTTCTATTAAATATGGTGAAAACACTGCAACCATGTGTATTGGTTCCTTTTTAAATCATTTTTGGAAAATCATCACCCATGATTTATGGCATAGAATATATTCTCTGGTTTTTAATTATTTCTGAATGTCACAAAGTAAAATAATAGAGGAAAGAGTTGTCTAAATGAAGTTAAAATCAATGGAAGAAAGTAGAGATCTTGGGATTCATGAAAAATTTGGAGTAAAAAGACTCAGTGGTAACCTGGAAATATTTTCTTTCTCTTCATCTAACAATATTATACTTCTTGATGTGTTTTATTTATGAAACTATCCTTTGAGGTAATCTTATTTGACCTCTTATGCTGTGCTTATCTTTGTAAATCTCATCTTATATTCAAAATACTCGTGCATGATCAGAGTGATGTCCTACAGTGAAATTTACAAGGGGATCAGGACAATGCTGGATCAATTTAATATTCAAATGGACAAAACTGAATACTGACCCCTACCTCAAACCATACACAGTGCATTTCCACATGGATTCATGTTCTGAAGGTGAAGGGAACACAATAAAATATTCTCACACAGAAAGATTTCCTAACCAGGACAAAAAAGGAACAATTAAGAAGAAAAATGTAGTTACTTTATATCAAAAATGATGACTTCTGTGTTTCAAAATATACCATCCAAGAATTAAAATGCAAACCAAGAGTGGAGAAAAATATTTATCCCAACATATATGCAATAAAATATAATACATGTGATTAATGAAGGTAATAAATAAAAGAAAATGAAACCAATATAAAATTGGGAAAATATTTGAACAGGCACTTCATAAAATTGGAGGCATAAATATCTGGACAAATATGAAAAAGGGATTACTTGTATTAGTCCTCAGAATAATAAAAATTAATCCATAAGTTGAACCACAGGCCTCCATAAAAAGTAGCAAAATGTAAAAACACATAATATTGTGTGTTGTGAAAGATAAAGAATCAATGATGAAACTTATTCATGGCTGGAGGGATACAAACTGAAATACTTTTTGGCAAACTGACTATGAGCATTCCTTATGGGCTACATATTCTCATTCTAAAATATATTCCACAGCCTGCCTATGTGTATTTCAAGATAAACACAATGTTGATCGTTGCAGCAATTTTTATAGTAGCTCCAAATTGGAGACAAAATAAATATTCATCAACAGTAGAATTGCTAAATAAATTGTGATCTCATTGTACAAAATAATTTTACAAAACAGAGATAACACCGAAATGCAACAAATTAATGAATCTCAAAGAGAAGTTTAAGAAAAGAATTGAAACACACAAATGTTATATTACAGTGTTTTATTTAGATAAATTGTGAACTCCATTAACTCATGCTAGAAGTTAGAATATTGAATAATGTTTTGGAAGGTAATGGTTAGGAAACTTGAAAATTAACCAGGATAAGATACAGGAAGCATTGAAATCAATGAGAGAAACTATAAGCATTTTTCATGCAGAAGAGAATTATATATATATATATATATATATATATATATATATATATATATATATACACACACACACACATATATATACATGGTATTTTCATGTATAAAATAAGAAGTTTGAAATAAATGAATTTGTTGTTTTGCCTAATTTTTCAAATGCATATGTATATACTTTATGATAATTTAACATCAACATTAAGACATAAACCTTTTTTTATTATCATACTTTAAGTTCTGGGGTACATGTGCAGAACGTTCAGGTTTGTTACATAGGTATACATACACCATGGTGGTTTACTGCACCCATCAACCCGTCATCTACATTAGGTAGTTATCCCAGTGATATCCCTCCCCTGGACCCCCACCCCAGACAGGCCCCAGTGTGTGGTGTTCTCCTCCCTGTGTACATGTGTTCTCATTGTTCAACTCCCACTTATGAGTGAGAACATACGGTGTTTGGTTTTCTGTTGTTATGTTAGTTTGCTGAGAATGATGGTTTGCAGCTTCATCCATGTCCCTACAAAGGACATGAACTCATCCTTTTTATGGCTACATAGTATTCCACGGTGTATATGTGCCACATACATTTGTTTTACAGTCTGTGAAGAGATTCAGAGAATATCACATTTTAAGACCTGTATTTACCTCCCCGTCTCCCCTGTGTAACAAAACCTAAAAGTACAAAGGGAAATATATGGAATGCCATCGCCCTTGAGATGCTGGTAAAACTAATTGAACTTTGGAAAGGGGAAAAGAAAAAAGAGGAAAAAAATATGTGGAGGATTTAGACCTACATCTGAAGGTTGGACAGGATCATTAAGAAGGTTCCAACCATGAAGACCCAGAAACAGTGTCAACCTGTGACTGAGCTTCATCAGAATCTCAGAGAATGCATCTCCATCCTCATCACCACCCCAACTAGGCAAAAAATTGTTGAGTAACAGGTCAAAGCAGTGCGTTCTGGGGGACTGAGCGGAATTTGGAGGGAAACTTAAAGTTGAGGATACAGCAGATACTGAGGAAAGCTGCTGAACCAGTCCAATCCGAAAAACAAAGTAATGCTAGATAAGCAGGAAACCTATGGTGCACTGGAATCAACTCTAAGAAGAACAAGTCTCAAAACCAAATCAACTCCTGACTAGATTGATTCAACCTTCTCCCTCAAAACACACACATACAGGCTAGAAAAAGGGAACACATGCCGGTTTTGCTTTCTATATTAGTCTACTCTACATAGTTCACTTTTTGAGTAAAACTTACCAGACATATACAGAAACAGAAAAGATACATAAAGGACACAGTGTTAAGAGAAAAAGTAATTAATAAAGCCAGATTCAAATGTGGCAGAGGTGTTAGAATTATCTTTCAAGTAGATCTCATGGGTACTGTTCTAGAAGTCCTTAGTAGGGTATAAAGCCTCTTTTTTTTATTATATTTATGTGACAAGATCTTCCTTTTATCCTCTTATGTAAAAGATATTTCCAATCCATATTCATCTCTGTATTGCCAGTCACATTTTTTGACACTTTACAAATATTAGTCCACTGTCTTATACTTACATTTATGATTATGTAGAAGTCTGTTGTCATTCTATTAAGTGTTCCCTCAAAATGAAACAGTTTATTCTGGCTGCTTTTAAGAGATTCTTCATCTTTGGTGGTGGTTTCAAGCTTAAACACATTATAATGAATCAGCCAACAAAGACAGAGAAATACTAAATATCAGCCAAAATATATTGTTTTACACATTCAAAACAAAGTAAATTTATGTTTTATACATCCAAAATGGGGATTGTTTGGCTTCCTGAATTCCATTCATTTGCTTACTCTGAAAAAATTATCAAACATTATACCCTTGAATATGTACTCTCCTCATCTTCTCTACTTAGCTCTACTGTGTGCTACAGTCAATCACACATTATGCTGTTTATAAAGGACATACATGATACTCTCATCCTCCTTATGTCACTATCACTCTCCTAGTTTACCTCTGTTTGTCCATCTGTGAAGCCTTCATGACATATCTTTATATCTATTATCCAATTCACACTTTCTGCAGCTTCATTTCACTTGCTAAACAGTTTTCACTAAACAGCAAATTTTACTTATTTCACTTTTACCAATATAAATTAGAATTTATATGATAAAAGAATTTCTTAAATGATTGCCAAATGTGAAAAAATTCATGTATGTATTATATATATTTACATGTGTATCTGTCATATAGACGTACACAAAATTGCTATTGGTAACAGCAGTTTTCATAGCAGTCTATAACTACTGAAGATTTTATTTTTCCTAAAAGATATAATATTTCCTTAAAGATATTCTGTTTCTTAATTTGTAATAAAGATAATTCTTATGCTTTTATTGACAACATAAATTAATAGGCTGGGTGCAGTGGCTCATGTCTGTAATTTTGGCTCTGTGAGAAAATGAGGCTAAAGAATCACTTGAGCCTAGCAGTTTAAGGCTGCTGTGAGCTGTGATTGCACCACCACACTCCAGCCTAGGCTACAGAACCAGAATATATATATAAATATATATGTGTGTGTGTGTGTGTATATACACATAATATATATAAAATACATATAATATATAATATATATAATATATTATATATGTATAAAAATATAATATATAAAAGATATTATATATATATAAATTGACAGTAATACATTAAAACCTGAAATCAAGCTTCAAAGGCAACAGCAGAGTGCATTTCCAGTCTAGTTCAGTGACTATTAGAATTAAAGCCAACTTCAGGCAAAACATTTCCAAAAACAGAAAAAAATAAAGCAAAAAGAAAAGGGAGAAAAACTATTCCAGACTTTTGAAGACATTTCTTAAAATCATAAATTGATGGTATCCTCTTTCTCATCTTTTGATGAGTAAAATATTAAAGAACTCCAAAAATTATCTACAAGTTTGGTATTTGAGGGTTCATTTGTTGTAAACTCAGTGGTTCTTGATAAAAGGAAGTTTAAAGTTTGTTTAGGGAGATTAGCCAAGGTGTTGAATCCATCATTTCCTCTCTTCTGGTGAAACCTAATCAAAAACCCTAATGGCTATCCCAAACTCCAAGAAATGGACAACCTGTTTGAAATGGGTGTGATTTTTCAGAGATTCAATATAAAGAGGTACAAGTAGCCAAGCTCATTCTTTTCTGGGACACACAGAGTGGCTTTTGAACTGGCTGTGAAGATGTCTGAAAGCTACTACCACTATATGATGAGGCCCTGATCCCTGACCAGACTTTATAGTACTACTTCTACAGCAAGATTCAGTGAGACCATAAGTATATTTCTGGGTGAGAACACAACTAACAGAGGAGGAGTTCCTGCTACTTTTCCAATCCAAAACAGACTGCACTATGTTTAATTTTTCAATAAACTGAACTTGTTTCTATAAGTGATGTCATTTGCTTACTTAGTAAAAACGTTTTTACTCTGATTTTGTCATCCTGTCTTCCTACATACTTGTGAAACACAGTGAAGATTAATTTTACTTGTATCATTTATGTATTCCTTACTTGTTCCTATGTATTCTAAGAACACAGAAAATAGTTTTCAGATATCTTGCAATTTCATACTTGTTGTATATCCTAAATTTTATTGAGAATATTTTATTTTATATGTTGTACATAAATGTAATACCCTCTGTTCTAAAGTTGGCACATAAATATATGCACAAGACAGAATATTCTATAATATACAACTTAGGTAATATGTTGAATAATTTGAGGATAATATTGTTTTAGAGTATACTAAATGTCTCTTCAGCATTTCTGGGTGAAAACTGATCAAATCTCACAATGTTCAGTAAATAAATAATGGTTATTTAGAAATCATTTTGCAGTGGTGGATTGTGATTGAGAATTTTCAAAATACTTTAAAGGAGAAAATTATGACATCTAAATGAAACAATGAGAGTAAAATTGCAGTTAAATACCATTTCCTCAAACAATCACGTTTTTTCTTTTTACGGAATCAATCTTTTCTAATCCAATCACAATGAGCATTAAGAATGGTTTACAGAGCATTCAGGACCCATCATCTAATGGTATAAATTGGTCCTAATCTCATACTCTGAAACCTGAAGTTTTTGGAGTAAAATCAAAACTCAAAAAAACTGAGGTTTCTTTTCTTTGCTTTTCTCTTCTTTTCTTTTCTTTTCTTTTCTTTGTTTCCTTCCTCCTTATTTCTCTCTCTTTCTCTCTCTCTCTCTCGTTCTCTCACTCTTTCATTCTTCCTTTCTTCTTGCTTTCTTGCCCAGGCTGAAGAGCAGTGGCTCAATCTCAGCTGACCGCAACTTCAGGGTTCACGCAATTCTCCTGCCCAGTCTCCTAAGTTTCTTGGATTACAGGTATGTGCCACCACTCCTGGCTGACTTTTGTGTTTTTAGTAGAGACAGGGTTCCCCATATTGGCCAGGCTGGCCTCCAGCCAGATCTACCAGCCCTGGCATCCCAAAGTGCTGGGATTACAGGTGTGAGCCATCACATATGGCCTCTCTGAGGTTCATTTTTCTATGCAAAAGAAAATGGTAGGAAGAAGATGTAGTGCCCTGTGAGTTGTGCATGAACCCAACAATTTTACCTACAGATCCAAGAGCTCTCTTTGTGCCTTAGGTTCTATTTTTGTCTTATACAAAATAAAGCCTGTTCTACTCTGGACAGAAGTTTATCACTGAGTCACAACCTGAGTCAAATTTTGCTTTGGTCTTTGTTTCTCCAAGGCATAAGATGAAGTTTTAATCATATGTTTCCTAATTTCCTTCCTTCAGGAAAATGGTCTCAGACATCACACAAGCCTTCCAGAAAGAACCCATCTGCCTCTTCTGTCTGAACTAACTCATAGACCCCATCACCACAGGCTGCGGCCCCAGCTTCTGTAGGCCTTTCCTGTCTCTGCCTTTCCTGGGAAGAAGCCAAAATTCCTACCGGCTGCCCACATGCGGGGAACTGTCACAGCAGGAGGACGTCAAAACTAATATTCTTCTGGAGATTCCAGTGTTCATTGCCATAAAAGCCAGTCTCTGGCAATTCCTGAGCTCTAATGAACAAATGTGTGGGATCCACAGGGAGAAAAAAAGATATTGGAGCGGTGGATAAGAGCCTGCTTCATTTGCTGTTCTGGAACACTCGGGAACACTGGGCTCCCAGACACTGTGAGGGGCAACTAAGGAACACTGGGTAAGTGATGGCTCTCAGAGCACTTTGAAAGCTGGAGGATGGCACAGGTAAAGAGATTAGGGGGAAGATGAAGAGCATGAGGATTATTCTGTTCTGTACTGGATATCATGTAGTGCCTAGGTATCAATGATAGAAATTTAAATGGAATCTGTGAGAATACCTTCCTTCCTGGAACTTGCATTTCACTGAGGGAGTGATGGAAGTTAATAATCATTATAATAATTTGACTACTTAGCTTAATGTTCAAGGCACGTAAAGAGCTCAATATCAGAGAGAGTTTCTGGCTATCTAAACTACAAGTTCAAAAGCCTTCTATATAAGAAACCTATTTACCAACACTGGAAATAATAGAATAAAATATGCTAGAATTAGCAAGGTTTGGTGTCAGTAGATTCCAATTCTGATGCAAGATGCCACATTATCTGTAAATTAGCCCTGCTTATGATTTTCTTATTGTACTGGTTGCATTCCATGTTGTGGTTCTACAGTCTGAGATCTTCCCAAATCTCTTTCATATCTCATCTCTTGATTTCTTTATCAGTGGGTGTCTGACACCCAAAGCCATTTGTTTCTCTGATGTTCAAATTCATAGTTCTTTTATAGGAGACGATAATGAAGCAAATGAGATCTTTTTGGGAAAAAATTCAAGAAAACCAAAGAAAGCTAAATGAGGAGAGCAGGAAAACCAACCAGTGGATTGTAAGTATTAGGCTTTTTCTCTCGGATTCAGCCTCAGACAGACATGCTACAAATGTATCCACTTACCACTTGAGTGGAAATCATCTTGGTTAGGATTTGAGGAAGGTTTTTTCTCATGGCTTCCAATCCTGAGGGTACAATGCAGCATTGACTACTGCTCAGAGAGAGTGGTCAGGCTATGGAGTAGGGAGGTTTAGTACTAAAGACTAATTTAAAAACTTAATACTGCAAAAAATTATCTGTGAATCACCATAAATTCCAATGACTCTCAGGTAGGTTGTCCGACATCAAAGGGTGTATATTGAAGAAATGATGAATCATAACCTTTCTTCGTGTGTTTTAGGAAGTCATTTAATGAATAAAAGTGGTTTAAGAAAAGAATGAATTTGGCTTCTAGTATTGTTAGGAAACAATAAAAATAAATGAAAGAAAGGGAGGAATGATTGATTTCATGGTTCTGAGAAGTGGGAAGACATGAGTTTATGTATATAGCTTATTGGTAGGATACATCAGTCAGTCTAGGCTCAGTGGCTCAAGTTCGTAATCCCTATGATTTGGGACTGCTACATCAGGAAAGGGTTCCAAAGATGAATTTCCCTTGAATGATTATTTGTTTTTCAATCCTGTGATGAAATATTTGGTATTAGAAAGCTGAATTGTATTTTCCTCTTTAAAGGAGTGAGTCAGAGCAGCGGCACATGCCCCAGTGTGTGAGCTCAGAGCTCAGTGCTCAACCCATCACTGGACTAATGGACAGATTTCATGACTTCCAGGTGAGTGTCAACCTGTTGAAGTGATGACCACACACTGCCCTTCAGGCATGGCTGGCTGGCTGGCTTGTTTGCTTGCTTGCTTTCTGTCTTTCTTTCTTTCTCTCTCTCTCTCCCTCTATGCACACCCTCTCTCCTCCCTCTCTCTCTCTCTCTTGCTCTCCCTCCCTCTCTCTCTCTTTCATCAACGCTAGAGGGCAATGGTACAATCTCGGTTCATTGCAACCTCCACCTCCCAGGTTCAAGCAATTCTCCTGTCTCAGCCACCCAAGTAGCTGGAATAACAGGCACCCACCATCATTCCCAGCTAATTATTTTATTTTTATTTTTATTTTTATTTTTGTATTTTGTAGAGCTGGGGTTTCTCCATGTTGTCCAGGCTGGTCTTGAACTCGTGACCTCAGGTGATCTGCCTGTCGTGGCCTCCCAAAGTGCTGGGATTACAGGCATGAGCCACCACTCTTGGCCTCATGCATGGTTTACTACAGCCAATTTTTTGTTCTTTATTAATCTTTCATCTAATAAAAGGGAACAGACTGTAAATAGCATTTATAAACATACTTAGTAATACAGTTCTTATGATCATATGGAAAAAAATAAATGAAAGCTGGTGCAATGGTAAACGTCATTCGGTTTCCTCTTGAGTCTGGGCCTTTTGGGTCTGGGTCCCTCTGTGCAGCCAAGGCAGGTCAGATGGAGAGAGATGGACAACACCTGGCCAAATGGGTTCTACGCGAGCCTTCTGGGTCAACACTGCCTTTCAATAAAGACCTGGGCTGTGATGACTCCAGCCGTGTTCTCCACCACTGTGGGTGGTGTGCTCATAGTGGGTCCTTGGGCCATGGGACACTCCATTATATATATTGAACAACATGCCACCAAAGCATTTCCCATCTGACACTGCCCGGGGCCCATAACAAGCTACAGCAGCATCATAACTTTGCCAGCACGAAGCCCGGTGTCCTTTCAGTTTATCCGTGTGTATGAGTAAACACACTTACACTCACCTGCGCATACCCTCACACTACAGTCTACACTGTCCACAGTGGCACCACCTGCTACTGAGGGCCGTGCCTCTTATCAAGTCTTATTTCAAGCTGGCTCAGCATGAGGAAATTGTGTATGCAACACTGACTTTCAACTGAGTCACTCAAAAATTAGTAAAATCATTTCAGGTAGCTTGTGTTTTTCTTTTTCCTGCTTTCAAAAACAACCTCCAGAGGAGTTTTTTTAGCCACTTATTTAAAATGTTAATGAAGGAACATGTGAGTGCAGGGGCACTGAAACGAGGAGTTGATTTAAGTCATTCCAACGCATAAGCAAGTTCCAAATGCACTGAGAGGTGAGGAGGGGAAGATGCAAAGGGTGCCTTGGGAAGAACTTCTTTTGCGGGAAGCCCTTGGTGGCTCCCAGCATGCCCGCTGCGATGGCATTCACCCCATTGCAGTCATCGTCATCAAGGTGACTTTGTTGTTTCAGAAGGATCTGTTGTGGTCAGGGTTCCACCTGTTGTTCCCTAGACCATGGCCCTCCAGGCAGTTCTAGGCAGGTTCCAGCAAAAAGGTACTGGGGTAGAAACCAAGGACCAGGCCCACAGAAACAGGGACCCCAGGGGCTTCCAAGGGGGAGTGCTGACTGCCAGGTGCAGAATCCATACAATTACCCACCATGGGAGCCAGAGGGACCTGTGCAAATCCCTGGGGAGTGTGTTAGAATTTCCCCAAATACTGTAAAAGAGAAAAGTGCTCATACTTTATCACGTGAAAGACTAATGATATCTAGGAGCTGACACAGAACAGGAGGACTCTGACCACCACAGGACCAGCGAGATGTGTCAGGACAGAAATGAGCAAGCTTGAGTCTCCAGGCACACCTGGGGAAAGAGTAATGCAAGGCACACATCAGGGCTGTGACTCACTCCTCAAAGCAGGTTTGGGTCCCCAGGGTAAGAGTGAAGAGACAGCCTCCCCACATCATGTAGTGTGGATGGCAGGGCTGCAGGGGATGTAGTGCTCTTGCCGGTGGACTGCCAGAGACCTGGCAGCCAGACCCACTTCTTAGTGACGGCACATTCATTTCCTCTCTGGGATGCATTTCATCATATTCACTTTGTAACCACGATTCTTCCTGACAGCCTGAAACAGCAGGCTTTGCATCCTTTTCAGGCCTGGGGTCTGGCCTTACCCCAGGGGCTTCTGTTTCACCCACAACAGACTCGCCTCCACACCGGAGACCTGGTCAGTGCTGACAGCAGGGAGAGAAGCAGACAGAGGAGTCCAGCGCGGCCCTCCTGCATTCATAAATCCTACTTTCCAACGAACATCACGAACTCCCTGTCTCCTGCTCCCAGGAGGAGTCTCAGGTCTCAGGAGTGGTCAATGCTGAGATGACAAAGCTATTGAAATTCTGATCTCCATAGCCTTGAGGCCTCTAGTTTTGCCAGGAGACTGTCAGGAGGAGCTCCAGAAGAAAGAGGCACAGGATGTTTCACACTGCTTTTCCCAAGTGCAGCCAAGGGACAGCCTCTGCACACTGAGGTAATTCTAGATGATTGACTCCACGCTCTTCCCTCCTCCTTTCTAGTGAGTTTAGTGCTGGCTGACTGTAGAATACTTTATTCGCAGAAGCAAGTAGAAAAAATTGTCACTCTTAATTCACATGCTCCAATGTCAGACCAGGAGTGACCGGTTCTGGAGGGAAGTGCCAGGACTGGCTTATTTGTGTTCTCATCAGCCGCCACCATGCACATGGAGGTGGATTTCACTGGTGTTGATACATGCTTTCACATCCGCAAGAGGCTCTCCGAGGGACAGAAGTGACTTCACACCCACCATAGGCACTCCGAGGGACAGAAGTGACTTCACACCCACCACAAAGCCATTTCTGCTGCCAGAGTCCCCAATCTCCAACCCCCTAAAAAATTCTCCCCAAGGGGCGAGCTCCACCTATCTCACTTGTAATCAGTAGCATCGCCATTGTCTGAGAAATATTTATTCTGTCCAGTTTAAGCTTAATTTTCACAAACACTAAAAAGTAGTAAAATAGTCTTGAGCTTTTCCTTTAACTATATTTATATATAAAACCCTGAGAAGGTAGCTGTCAACTTGAAATTCACTATTTACAGTTAATTAACATCAGGGTGCAGGGAGGGACCCTGAGCCCCATCCCTGTGCACAGCAGGGGCTGGGCTGTCATTGTAAGAGAGCAAACCTGGTCTCCCTTCTGAGCAAAGAGGAGGGGGTGGGAGGGGCACGGTGGTGTAGGAATTCTTAGCCATTAGCATGGATGCTGGCAGGCCTGCTGATCACTCACTCTGGGGTCATGGAGGTCCCACCATGATAACACCACATTGCCTCACAGAGGCCCCTGCTTTTCTGTTCTTGGTAGAACTCAGGGTAGGTGGTGCCAGGGATGATAAAGAACTTAACCAACTGGGAGAAGAAAACAGGCAAAGGAAGGAAGGGTAAATGAGGAGGAGGAGATGAGGCAACAGGGGTGGGAGAAAGTGGTAATAAAGCCAGTGGGGAAGGTGTGGTGGCAACTGACAGAAGAGGAGAAGGGGGTCCATGCTCATCAGTCCCCTCCTTCCTGAACAACATGAGGGGTGCAGGGAGGGCGAGCCCTCAGTGAGTGAATGCAGAAGTTCAAAGAAACAAAAATAGACAAAAATAATAAATGTTATCCTAGGACACCAGGTTTTTAGAGAGGCCACTGTGAGACCTGTGAATGCCTGATGCCCAATAGTGCTGAGTGGGTAAGTGACAAGAAGCCTGCATCCCCCCCACCCCGCCAGCACTGTGCACCTCCTGAGACCGAGGAGCCTGTGTCACCAGTACCTAGGGCTAGAAGAAAGGGCTTCCAAATGGCTCAGGAAGATGAGTGGGCATTTCACTCCACCTCTGGGACCAGATGACCACACCTCCCCCGAGGAATCCGTTACCCAAAATAATTGAACATAATAATGTTGCTTAAATATAAACTGGCTCATCTGATCACCCCGACACTGACCCCAGGACACCCCCCTCAAGGTGGCTCCAGTTCCCCATCATCTAGACTTTTCTCCCTGTCCTCCCACACTCCCTGAGCCTGGCTGGAGGTCTGCTTGTCCCCTCTGCTGCCCACTCCAAAGAGAATAAGAAACCAAGAGCCTGGGCTCACCATAGGTCAAGGAAAGAGGTTTGGTGACACTTCCTTTGACTTGGAAAATTCCTCTACTAGCAAATCTGATTCCACATGGCAAAAATGAGAAGTGCTGGGCCAGTAGCCAGGCACACCGCTGCAGAAGCTACCTGGACCTGCCTCATGGGCCAAAGGGAAGGGTTGCCCACAGGCAAGCCACATCTAGAGTGACTCCAGAGAGACCAGGGAGAGTCCAGGATCCCATCAGGGATGACCCTTCTTTCAGTTGGGTCTGGTGGGTTTTCAAAATCCAGTCTTTCCACTGGGGCCATACCAAAGCTCCGGGGGAGGTCAGGCTTCCCAGTCCCACCAGAACCCCCCCGTGAAGTTGTCATTTTCTCTCAAGCTGCATACACTGGCCAGGTAAAGGCAGCTTCTACTCACCAGGCAAGTGGCCAGCTCACCTTCAGATTTGCCAAAGCAATCTGGGTCTTGACCCATACTTGTTGGCTTGGCAGGCTTTTCAAAATGCAGGTATCTCTGGAGCTGTTTTGTGGACACCAGGAGCATTACTTGACAAGCCCTGTGCTGGCCCCATGGTACCCTGTGCACCTGGGTAAGGCTGAAACACATTGGGAACAGGGACCCAACATGCCCACTCTGGAACAGCGTGGGACCTGGGGAAATTGCCAGTTGTTTTCTGTCCTACCATTGCTGTTCTACACATCCCTGGAGACTATGAGCATCGGTTACAGTGTGGTAGTGGCTGGTCAGGACCAGAAATATCCATTTTTGACCTGGAAGCAGCAGACACCCAAGGCTTAGTGTAGAAGTGGGTGCTCCATACCATTCCCAGTTGTCAACTTCCCATGGTGGAAACAGGAAGGAATGTCTAGTAACCCACCAAGGGTCAGATGCCACATCAGCCCGAGCGAAGCTGCCAGACACTGGCTGTTCCAATGCCAATTAGACATTCTTGGGAAGGTGGAGCCATTTGTGAGAGCTCAGGATGGGTGTCCTGGAAGTGCCTCTTAAAGGCGACTGAGGCCTCTCAAAATCCCTGTGTTAGAGCTGCAGCTCTCCATGTGGGCTGCAGTGCAGTCACCTATGGAGCTTTAGGACAAGCCCAGGGCTCAGCTCCCCAGACCAGTGCCTTCAGAACTTTCGCAGCAGGGATAGCCGGCTTGGAAAGGCATGCCTGGGAGACCATGTGACACTGTCTGGCTGGGTCCTGGGCTGACAGAGGTGAGCGTGGAGCTCGTGGTGACTTGGTAATGCTGTGAATTATGTACACGTGGCAGGAAGGTGCCACAATGCCAAGGCCCCACGTCTTGGAAATTCCATGAGGTCCGCATGAGGTTGAACTAAACATCAAGTGCAGTCCTCAAAGGAAAAATAAAAGAAATACCCACATAAGGGACTCTTTGGAACTGAGTCTGCAAGAGAGGGCTGTCTGGTCCACTCCAGGAGAATTTGCCTAAAATAAGTTTGCTTCCCACTGCATTCTCTTTGCTTGTTCTAAACATCACCTCCCCCCTATTCCTTTAACTTGCATCATTCTGGGCTCCTTACTCTTGTTGCATCCTTTTTTTACATTTGAAGGATGTCTGGATTCGATTAACTTAAGAGCATATATGGCTTAATTTGTATTTCTGATAATCATCTATTACTTTTCTCCCATTTTATCAAATGACACTTTTCCCTCATATCTATTTTTAATATGTTAAAGATGGTCTATCTGGATATTAAAGTCTATCCAGTTTATCTAAAACTCCTTGAATAAAAAGAGTTTAATTCTAGCAATACATGCATGCTTATCTCGGCATTGTTTTATAATTTGATGATAACTGTTTTTCCCCAATATATGAGTGTATGGATAATACTTTTTAAAAAGATATAATAAAATATGATATCTCTTTCTCACTTGATCATGTGGCTGAATGAGTCAATCCCTCCATCAAACAGAAATATCCGGCATCACTTAATCTAATTAATAAAAACATCCAGTGTGCATGTGCACCCACAATGAGAAGAAAAGACCAAAACAAACAGCCAAAAAGGAGAGAATCCCATGATTTCTGTGTAAACTCCTAAAGATATCATACACATTTATTGCTAGAAACAGTATTTTAAATACAAGGTCTTCAGGCAAGTGTATTAAAACTGCCTTGGATACAAGGGGCCCTATCACTTGTAAAACTTGGCAAATTGGATAACAATTAAAAATACAAAATCACACAGAAAATACCCTTTAATAAATTGAGGTTTTTTTGATTGAGACGGAGTTTGGCTCTTGTTGCCCAGGCCGGAGTGCGATGGCGCGATCTTGGCTCCCTGCCACCTCTGCCTCCTGGGTTCCAGCGATTCTCCTGCCTCAGCCTCCTGAGTAGATGGGATTACAGGCATGTGCCACCATGCTCGGCTAATTTTGTATTTTTAGTAGAGACGGGGTTTCTCCATGTTGGTCAAGCTACTCTCAGACTCCCAACCTCAGGTGATCCGCCCGCCTCGGCCTCCCAAAGTGCCGGGATCACAGGCGTGAGCCACCGCGCCCGGCCTAATAAATTGATCTTTAAAAACATCTTAATTGAGGTTCTCTAAAGGGAGCCTTTTAGGCAACATGCCCGCTAGGTGTACTGATTGCTAGGGTGGCTGGTGTCAGGCGAATCGATGTGGCTCCCCCAGCCCCTTCCTGGGAGCATCCTAGAAAGACAGCGTGGAAACGCGCACGGCCTGGTGGTCCCGGTAGCGGCCATGGTGCTCAGCCCCGCGGCCTCACCCTGCCCTCGAACCCCGTGTCAAGAACCTGCGGATTCTCACGTCCTCTTCTTCCACGGCGCCGGGTGCTTCTCCTGCACCTTGGCCTGGCGCTTCTTCTCGGCCTCCTCAGCCTCCGGTTTCTCCTCCGTGGCCACCTTGTAAGGCCACTTGGGTATCCGCAGGTGGCCACTGTCCTTGGTGCTGCCCTTCCGCGCCGGCCTCTGGGGCTGGAAGGTGGGCGCGGGAGCCTTGCTGAATAGCCTATTATGAACAGTACCACAGGGTGTACACACATAGAGAACATCTGCTGTGATATTAAAAGTTATACCTCCCTGGGATATTGTGAATAATATTACAGGGTCTACACACATGATGTACATCCACTGTGATTTTTAAAGTAATATCTCCTTAGGATATTACAAATAGTATCAATAGGTGTACACACCCTCTGACATTAAGATAACATCATTTTAAGATATTCCCAATAATATCCCAGGGTGTAGACCCCATGTGACATTAGGAGTAACATCTTCCTTGGATATTACGAATGAGATCACAGGGTTGACACCCCATGTGATTTTAAAATTAAAATCCCCCAGGAATATTACTAATAATAACACAGTGTGTACACCCTTGTGACGTTAGGAGTAACATCCTCCCAGGATATTACGAATAATATCAGAAGGTGTACACACATTGTGACATTAGTAGTAATATCGCACGAGTAAAGTGTGAATAATATCACAGGGTATACACACCTGTGACATTAGGAGTAACATCCCCCTGGAATATTCTGAATAATATCGCAGGGTTTACACCTCCTGTGACTTTAGGAGTATCATCCCGCTAAAGTATTACGTGAATAATTGTAAAATTACGAGCATCTCCCTAAGATATTATGAATAATATCGCAAAATGTGTACATACATGGCATATACCCCATGTGATGTTAGGAGTTACATCCTTTTAGTATATTAGGAATAATACCACAAAGGTGTTCACACATAGTTAACAGCATATGTAATATTTGGATTAACATCCCTCGAGAATATCACAAGGAACATCACAGGGGCTGTGCACACATGATGTACATGCCCTTAGACATTACGAGTACCTTTCCCTGACACATTTCCAGTAATATCACAGCGTTTACACCTTCTGCGACATTTGGAGTAACGTCCCCTAGGATAGTACGAATAATATCACAGGGTGTACATCCCCTGTGACCTGAGGAGTAATATCTTTCTAGAATACTACGAATAGTATCACAATGTGTACACCCCGTGTGTCATTAAAAGTAAAATTCCCCTAGGATATTATGACAAATAACACAGGGAGTACACCCCGTGTGACATTAGAAGTAACATCCCCCGAGGATATAACGTATAATATCAGAGAATGTACATGCATTGGGACAGCAGTAGTAATATCTCTTTCGGATAATACGAATAATATCAAAGGGCGTACATGCATTGTGAAATTACTAGTGAACTCCCCCTAGGATATTACGAATTTTGTGACAGGGTGTATATGCCCTGTGACATTCACAGTAACGTTTTCCTAGAATATTATGAAGAATATTAAAGGGTGTACAGGACCTGTGATTTACGAGTAAGATTTCCATAGAATATTACACTGTGTGTACACCCCGTGTGACATTAGGGGTAACATCCCACAAAACTATAACGAATAATTTCACAAGGTATACACCCTCTGCAACATTAAAAGTAACATTTCCCTAGAATATTAAGATAATATCACAGAGTGTACACCCCCTGTGATATAGGGAGTAACATCTTATAAGGTTAATACAAGTAATTTGATAAGGTGGACAAACCCTGTGACACAAGGAGTAACATCCCTCTAGGACATTACAAATAATATCAAAGGGAACACACCGCGTGGGACAATAAAGGTAACCTCCCCTTAGGATATTACGAATAATACCACAAGGTGTACACACACTGTGACATTATTATTAGTGTCCCACTAGGGTATTGTGAATAATATCACAGTGTGTACAGTCCTGTGACATCAGGATGAACATTCCCCTACAATATTATGAATAATATAGCAGGGTATACACCCCCTGTGATTTTGGTAGTGACATCCTCCTAGAATATGGAAAATACTGTCCCAGGGTGTTAACAAAGAGTGGCAGTAGAGGTAAAATCCTAGTAGTGGAGTAATATCACCCCGCCTATCCCCCCAGGATATTACGATCCACGGTGGACACACAGCGTGTTTACGTTATTGTGAGTAATATCTTCTCCGCCTCTGGAGATTACCAACTATGTCATAGACGGGTGTACATCCTCTGCACTATTTGCGGTAATGGCATCCACTTGCCCCTGGATATTAACAACAATATCACAGGAGTGTTTCTACCCCCAGCGGCATTTGGTGTAGTATCATCCTCTCCCACGCTGAAATTAGGAACAATATCACTGGGGGCGTGTACACACCCTGTGATATTGAAAGTAATATCATCCTCTTTTCTCCTGGATCATGGGACCAATATCAATGGGAAGCGTACGCTTTCTGCAATATTGGGAGTAATGTCATCCTCTCCCTCTTTGAATATTTAGGGCAATGTCACAGGGTGGGTGTACACTCTCTGCGATACTGGCAATATTATCCTCTCCCCAACCTGCATATTAGGAAAAATATCACAGAGTGGGTGTGCACCTTCTGCGATATGAGTAGTAATATCATCTTCTCCCCTTCTGGATATTAGGAACAATATCACTCGGGAGTGTACACTTTCTTCAAGATTGAGAGTAATATCATCCTCTCCGCCTTTGAATATTAAGAGAAATGTCACAGGGGGGATGTACAGCCCCTGAGATTTTGGGAGTAATATCGGGCTCTTTCCCTCCATGGATATTAGGAACAATATCTCAGGGTGGGTTTACATCTCCTGCTCTATGGGGAGTCGTATCCTCTCTTTTCCTGGATATTAGGGACAATATCACAGGGTGGGTGTACACAGCCTGCGATATTGCTGTAATATCATCCTCTCGCCCTCCGGATATTAGGAACAATATCACAGAAGAGGCGTACACTCCCTATGATATTGGGAGTAGTATCATTTTCTCCTTCCATGAATATTAGGAGCAATATCCCTGGGTGGATGTACACCCACCGTTACATTGGGAGTAATGTCATACTCTACCCCCTGGATATTAGGAGCAATATCACAGGGTGGGTGTACACCCATAGCGATATTGGGAGTTATTAATATCATGCTCTCCCCCTCTGGATATTAGGAACAATATCACAAGGGGGGTGTACACCCCGGCACTATTGCGAGTAATACCATTCTCTCTTATTCTGGATAGTAGGAATAATATCACAGGCGGGGTGTACACCCTCTGTGATATTGGGAGTAATATCATCCTCTCCCAACGTGGATATTAGGAACAATATCACAAGGGGGGCTGTACACGTCTTTGATATTGGTAGTAATATCATCCTCTCCCCCTTGCACATAAGAAACAGTGTGACAGGCGGGGTGGACACCCCCTGCGATATGGGGAGTAATATCACCCTCCTCTCCATCCCTGGATATCATGACCCACGGTGGACACACAGCGTGTTTACGATATTGTGAGTAATATCATCCCCCCCTCTAGAAATTATGAACAATATCACAGATTGGTGTAAACCCTCTGCAATATAGGGAGTGATAACATCCTCTCCACCCCGGAATATTAGGAACAATATCAAAGAAGTGTTTATACCCCCTGTGATATTGGGAGTAATACCATCCTCTCCCACGTTGAAATTCAAAACAGTGTCACTGGGGGCGTGTCCACCCCATGCGATACTGAAAGTAATACCATCCTCTTCTCTCCTGGATCATGGGAACAATATCACTGGGGTGGTGTACACTTTCTGCGATATTGGCAGTAATATCCTCTTCGCCTTGGAATATTAAGGACAATATCACAGGGGGGCTGTACACATCCTGCGCTATTAACAATAATATTATCCTCTCATGCCCTGCATATTAGGAAAAATATCACAGAGTGGGTGTACACCTCCTGCGATATGGGGAGTAATATCTTCTCTTCTTCTGGAAGTAGGAAGAATATCACACGCGTTTGTACACTTTCTGTGATATTGGGAGTAATATCAACTTCTCCGCCTTTGAATATTAAAAACAGTATCACAGAATGGATGTACACCCCCTGCGATATTGGGAGTAATATCAGCCTCTACCCTCCATGGATATTAGGAATAATATCCCAGAATGTGTGTTCAGCTGCTGCTGTATGGGGAATCATAGCATCCTCTCCCTTCCTGGATATTATTAGCAACAATATCACAGGGTGGGTGTGCATAGCCTGCGACATTGGGAGTAATATCACCCTCTCCCCCTCCGGATATTAGGAACAATATCACAGAACGGGTGTACACTCCCTGCGATACTGGGAGTAATATCATTCTCTTCTTCCGTGAATATTAGGAGCAATATCACCGGGTGGATGTACACCCACTGCTATATTGGGAGTAGCGTCATACTCCACCCCCCTGGATATTTGGATCAATATCACAGGGTGGGTGTACACCTACTGCAATATGGAAAGTAATACCATGCTCTCTCCCTCCCTGGATATTAGGAACAAAATCATAGGTGGATGTACATGCACTGCGGTATTAGGAGTAATATTATTATTAATTATTACTTATTTATTATTAACATTAATATTAATTACCAATATCAATATTGAGAAATAATTGCTAATAAAAAGTTTTCATATTATTAACATTAATATTAATTATTGGTACCTAATATTATTGTTTTCTAATTTATAAGATCAGTATCAATTGTTAATATCAGTCATTATTAATAATTAATATTAATAATTTAATGTCATTAATATAACTATTCAATAATAATTATCATTATTATCATTATTGATTTTAAATCACTCATTTAACAAAAACTCAGGCTACATACAACTACACAAAGGGCCTAACATTGTAAGCCCTTCGGGACTGCTTCAACCTTTCACTGACACAATAACACTTTTCAGCAAAGAACCCCTATGGCCCTCAACATCTACTATTAACCTTTATATTATTGCTCCAACCCTGGCCCTTTCTTTCGCTCTCCTATTGTGAACCCCCATCCCTATACCAGATCCTCTAATTAATTTTGATATAGGCCTCCTATTTTTACTAACCGTATCAAGCCTAGCCATCTATTCTATGATCAGGAAGAGCAATTAAATTCAAATTATGCACTATTTGGCGCATTACAAACTGTAGCCCAAACAATTTCATATGAAGTAACCCTAGCCGTTATCCTGCTATCAATTCTACTGATAAGTGGCTCGTTTAACTTATATGCACTCATCACAATGCAAGAAATCCTCTGACTGCTCCTATCATCATGGCCCCTAGACATGATATGACTTGTCTTCACACTAGCAGAAACTAATCGAGTCCCTATATTATATATATATATAATTTTTATATATATAATATATATTATATAAAATACAAATATATAAATATTTGCATATTATATATTTTATATATAATATAAATATATAAATATTTACCTATAATAAAAAATACATAATATATATAATATATATGATGATATATAATTTTTATACCCTCTGTAGAGGGAATTATTTTTGTTTCTATATCCATCCATAATAAAATACTGTGACTGTCCATAATAAAAATACTAGTGAAAAATAGGAATTATAGTCATGTAAGAGATAAAAGAAAATCTGTTAGTATCAATATATTAACACATATAGATGGTGTTGGTTTTTACAGGGTTTAGTAAAATGCATTCTAATTTTCTAAACAATTTCCACATTATAGTACATTTATTTTTCCCTCTTTCATGATTGGAAAGAGTGCAACAATATACATCCCTATACAATCATCCTTGATTACATCTAAGGGAGCTTTGGCAGTAGTAACATTACAGGGTTAATATATTCATATAGGTATTACAGGGTAACCAAACAACATTCCGAATTCTTTCATCAGCAAAGCCCAGTGTAATCCTAATCCAGGTAGCCACTCTAATTAATGCAATTAACTCAGATACATAAATATATACATATAAATATATATGTCTGCATGTGTGGATGCACTTAAATGGTTGCAAATACCATCGACTTTTCCTCTCAAACAGTATTTTTGTTGAGAATGAGGTATATTCAGTAGTTCATCAAAAATCTTTTTTAAATTCTTAGATGATTACATTTGTTACAATGACCAGCTGGATTAGAATTAGATTAGGTTTAAAATGATGAAAGAATCTGGGAGAGGGGGCAGAGTGTTGGTTGTTAATTAACACATGGATCAAAGGAGAGCACTGATGTGTTTAGAAGCCACAACATTGACAGGATAAAAGCCAGAACTAACAATCCAGTTGTAAATCTCTTTACTGTGGTATTTTTTTGCCATTTCTGCTCCATAAGACACACTTTAACCACTTTGTCATGGTATCTGCAGTATTCTATTTTAGTCTAAATAGCATTTTCTCTCAAATGCATTCTGTTTCTCTCTCCTTCAGCTTCCCTCCCTTCTTCCTTCCAGCTGTATTTTCTCACTAGAGAACACTAGTAGAATGTTCTCCCAAATTTCAGATTTCAGATACGCATCTGTAAAATAATCTTATGGAGACACATTTTAGTTGCTACTGAATACTTGGTTGTTTTCATAAGTTCACAGCATTACTACTGTCCTCCAAAAAATGGTTTCCCATTTCCACAGCTAATCTCATCATTGACTCTGTCATCCAAGTTTATTCTAGGCCACTCTGGAATAATCTGGAAAAATACTTAAAATACATTTTAAGTATTCATCATGCACATGAATTGTATTTTATTTTATATATGTTCGGGTGAATATCTTTCTCCACTAATGGTTTGCATTTCAATTCTTGTATCATGTTTTTTGAAACACAGAAGTCATCATTAATATAAACCAACTAATTTTTTTAATTGTTAATTTTTGTCCTGGTTAAGAAATCCTTATGAGAATATTGTGTCATGTTTCCCTTACCTTCAGGACTTGAATCTATTTGGAAGTGACTGTGTGTGTTTTGAGGTAGGAGTCAATATTTAGTTACTTTTTTAAAAAAAATTCAATAAATCCAGCATTGTTCTGATCACCTTGTGTATTTCAATGTAGAAGAGCACACTAATAATGCGGGATTATTTATATATGTGGTGAGAATTCCAAAATGAAGCCCAGCATGGAAGGTCAATTGATATAACTCAAAGGATAGATTAGTACAATGAAACATGATGGATAAGTGCAATACAGTTATATAAAGAGAAAGAAAAACAACATTTCCCAGTTATCATTAAGACTTCACTCCAAGTTTTTGCATGAAGCAAAATATCCTGACTCTCTTCCACTGATTTTAACTCCATTCAGACATGTCTGTCATCTATTATTTCACTCAGTGGTAGTGAGAAATAAAGAAAAAAAAAACAGAGAATATATTTCATGCCATGATCATGAATAATGAGTTTTCAAAAATTAATTAATAAAGAACCAATACATATACTTTTAGTGTTTTTACCACATTTAATAGTAACACAATAAATGAGTTTTAATAACATTAGAATGCAATTCAAGACATAAAACAGAACCTATTTGTCCTGTTTGATAAGGCACAAGGAAGAGGGCTTTATGGGATAAAGGGGTTCCCACAGCAGATAAACACATTTCTGATTTGTCTCTGGTCAGAGATGAATACAGCAAAAGATAGGCCTGAGAGGAGGTGAGAAGGAGCAATTAGGGATGGTGTATATAGGGGAGCTTTGATTAACATCAACGAAGCTCACAGTTCTAGCTTCACAATCCAGGAATAATCCTACATGGTTGGTAGGTCTTGGGACATACTGCAGTGTAACTGGGGAGGTGGTAAAGAGACTGCACTGAATGTCGTTCTTAACAATCCCAAGACTAAAGAGTCCCTCCTCTCCATATATATTGCCATTCTGATTCTTCCCTTTCCAGTACTTATTACAAACACCGAAAGCCCAATTCCAAGAGTCCCCCACATGGACCTCCCAGTAATACTTGCCAGAGGTGAAAGTCTGAGCACCCCATGCAAGAAAACTTGTAGGTGTTGCAGTGATATGGGGCGCATTTTGACGGTCACATCCAATACAAATGCTTCTCAAATCTCCACATCAGAAGATATGACTGTTGGCTTCATTATAATGCAGAGTAATATCCACTGCAAAATAAATAAATAAATAAATAAATAAATAAATAAATAAGAAAGAAAGAAAGAAAACATGCATAGGCATGTGTAAATAAGCAAAAATTGTTCTATCAAGAAGTTAATTTACCAGGAAATGTAAAGTCACAAGGACACTTGCTTGTAACTTCTAATAAAGTATAGAGATGATTAATATTATCTACAAGACAAAAAAAACGCTAACCACAGATATTAAAATTGTTTTGAAAACTTACATATTGAGAGCCAAATGTAAGACCAACTTCTTTCAATCCAATTTTCAAAGCAAAATTTGCTCATTATATGCCCTAAATGCTATGCTGTTATCAAGATCATTATTTAGAAATGTTTCTTATTCTTAAAAACTAGTGCTATCATTTTGGAAAGAATGTGAAGATTTTCAGTTACTCAAGAACTGCTCTAGATAACTGGATAAAAATCCATAAGTACACGTCATAAGTGATCATTTAAAGCAGATTTCTGCAAAATCTTTTACCAGTCTCTCTGTGGCCCTCCATGTTAGCTTGGGGCTGAAGCTGGATTTTAGACTTAACATGTAGCTTTTCATATTGCAATTAAACTGAACTTCTTTTTGTTTGTAATTTTACTTGCATTCACAAAATGATTTCTTTTTATGTTTACCCATTAACTAATTTTTTTGCAATACATGATACATATCCATTTAAAAAATTAAAAACCCCCAGCAATCCCCAGTAAACCATACTCCCCAAAAGAACAGTTCTTAGCTGTTCAAATGAATACACTAAGGAAATGTAAAATTTTGTATTTAACATTAAATAACTCACCTTCATTCTGAGCATTGTTCCATTTGCTCCTTTTTTAAATTTGCTACACTACTCCTTTTTCCCATTACATTACTCAGTATATATGAGGACAAAATGTATTTGTTTTTCACTATCTTTCAAACTTATTGCTATAAATCTGACTACACAGACACAGATACAAAAGGGTTGCATGATTATGTTGTTCACTTATGTCTATAAAGAAGTAAAATATTTGATAAAGGATGAAATATTACCTATGTGGTCCTAACAATAATAATATTTAGATAGTGGGAGTGCTGCCTATGGGTGGAGACTTACCTCAGAATTAGATGAGCCTGTCCCTCAGTCCAGTGATGGGCCCTGCACTGAGCTCTAGATTCAGAGGCTGGGGCATGTGCAGCAGCACGGACTCACTTCTGGAAGGAAAAACCTGCAGTTACAACATCTACAGCCATAAAATAAATAAAAATCACTATTTCTATTTAAAAGACAGTTCATGAGAATCCTGTGAATCCACAAATTTGATTATTCAAAAATTATTCCTTCCTTTTTGGAATTAATTTTTATTTACAGTTTCCAAATTTTAAAGCATAGTGGGAGAGCCTGAGTCAGAATTCAGTCTGATCTTTCTTTTTTTCTGCCCCACATGTGTAAGGTTCCTTAGCCTTATGGCCTTGAGAATATTTGGAAATGAAATTCTGAGTTCCACTTCTTGGCAGACTCCCCTGACCTCTTTGTCTGAAATAGCGGGGTTTTGGGGAGACTGCTGCATCTGCTGCTTCCTTTTCAAGATAAAGAATGTGAAATTTGTTCTAGACAGCTAGACGTGCCTTTTAGAAACAAGCTTCCCTAGAGACTTATACAGTCCTAACACTCCACAGTTTTTTCAACCTATTTTTCAGGACTATTAACTGATATGTATGTAGGTATGAACAACAAATCATCAACTTTTTCACTGCTAAAATACTTCCCCCACTTCTCTCCTGCTTCCTCTGGTGACTTTCTAACCATCCACAAAACAAAACTTTATCTTTCACCCATGCAGGCTTTTAAGCAATAAAACAAACTCAGGAATAAACATTTTTTTATTTCACTATTTATTTATTTATTTTTTTATTTAGTGTTCTTGTCTTTTCTGGTGTGAGAGTGAAAGCAGATGCAAAAACAAAAAGGTAGTATCAATATCTGAATCATTTATGCCATGACTTTGGTAGAGCCTGCTTTGATATTCATGGAAACTGAAGGAATATATGCTAAAATCTACATAAACACTCACCTGTGTAATATGTCTCCAAAACCCTGTAAAAAAAAATAGAAATACGTAGGACATTTCACAAGATGCATCTTTCACTAAGTTTAGTGTGAAATTTGGAGTCAGGCACAGAAAGACAAATATTACATGTTCTGACTCATATATGTGGGACCAAAAAAAAGGTTTTCTCATGGAAGTAGATACCAGAGGCTGAAGAGGGTGTGTACATGGGTAGTGTGTAAATAAGAGAGGTTGGTTAATGGGTAAAAACATACAATTAGATAGAAGAAAAACATTCTAATGTTTGTTAGCTGAGTAGACTATCATTAACAAAAATATATTGTTTGTTCTAAAATGTCTATAAGAGAGAACTTGAAATGTTCCCAACACATAGAAATGATAAATATGTGAGGTGATGGATACTGTAAATACCCTAACCCTAACATGATCATTACTCATTCTATGACTGTAAAAAAAAATCATGTGTACCCTATAAATATGTAAAAATATGTATCCATGACAAAAGCAATTTAAAAAATTACTTTTTGTAAAAAAATTGCCAAATATTATTTTTTTAAAGTAAAATTAAGTAAGAAAACAGATTTTGGCGTGTAGAAAAAGGTAACTTGAGAGAATCTCTATAAATCATCTTGAAGCATAAAGACTTGTATTCATGACTTGATAAGCTATTAGAAAACAATAAAGCTTTAAAATATTCTGAACTAATGACTGAATGATATCTAATATTCACTTTATTAGCTGGCAAGTCTAATAATATGAAGTCAGAGTACTGAAGAAACTACATCTGTTTTCCCTGCCTTTGAAAGGAAATAAAACCTATGAAGGCTTCCTTTAAAACAGCACAGACGTGTCCAAGAATGTATCTGGTCTTCCTTGTCTCACCACTTTATTAATAATTTGACTTTTCCTATTGCAAGTGATTGATTAATTGAATGCACATTTAAGCCTCATAGAAAGTGCTCATTTCTTCAGACGTGCTTTGCAAAGGCCAGAAATTCACCATTCAGTAAGAAAAGCTTTGAAATAGACCTGTCATAAACTCATGGGGAGCGTGTCCTAAGGAGACACCTCTGTTCTCCACCAGGAGACTTTTAGCTGGCTTACTTGCAGAGAAACATACATTTAGTCTACTTTTTCACTTTTAGGGTTTGAGAATCCTGCCTTTTACTTAGGCTGACTGAGTTAAGGAGAATCATTTTTCTGCCTCTCTATTACTGCCAATTTCTTTCCCCCTGCAGTTTCAGCCACTCTAAAATATCTATAATGTATTAGGTATGAAAGATATGAAGATTTATAAACCTTTACCCACACTTTCAAGGAGCTTATATTCTAGTGTAAGAGGAAAAAGAAGAAAACAGAAAAATAAAAATGAAAACTTCCAGGGATTTTTTAAGGGATCTGTGGAAGTCTTACTGGAGTTCAGGATATCTTCCAAACTGCCTGGAAATGTCTTACATGATAAACCAGATACATAAACCTGAGTATATAGGTAAAAGACAGGGAAGTAATTCCAGGGAGAAAACAGTGTAGGTTACACTGTAAGCTAGATATGGTCAGCGAATTGTAAGCATTTTGAGATATAGGTGAAGATACAGCAGTGGGAAGGTGCAGAAGTGTGTCAATTCTGATATTCGGCTGGTATGCATCAGCATAAATTAACCCATTGGTTATGACTTGCATCTGTTTTGATTGGATCCACATCTTACTAGTTGTTACATATTTTAAATCTCACCTCTGAGTAACATAGGAAGTGATTGGCAGATTTTAGGCCATGTAGTGTATGCCAAATTATGGAGTGGAATATGATGGCAAAGGGGAGTCAGCTAAGATCATTTTGCAGAAGGATGAAACAATTACATTTGTTTTACAGAAAACAACTCTGAGGAAACTGGGGACGATGGGATGAGGAAAAAAGAAAAGAAGCATTTTTAATCCATGTTATTGATACAATTTAGCAAATGAGAGGTGTAAAAATAACTGTATTAAAAAGACTAATATCTATACCCAAAGAGTACACTTCTTATTAAACTTAGCACATTCTTTTATTTTAGGTAAAATTAAATCACTTAGTGTTGAATGAGGAGGTAATTCAAATGCATTGCCTGTTGCAATTGCTTTGAACATTATGTTCCAGGATGTTGAAGTCAAAAAAAGCTCCTTTGTTCTGGGTCTTCTCTCCACTGAGAATCATGGCATTCAAGCCTGTACCCTCAACTCCAACCAACACTCCTAAGACTCTCAGATCTCATAACCCATCAGAAGCCCTTAAACCTCAATAAGGATTGAAAAAAAAAGTGGAGTTTATGTGCAAACCATGACTACTTTTGAGTAATATTGAAAACTTAATACTGCTATGTAAGTAGGCATATTCATCTTCACAGATGAAAAAACTCTGGATCAGGTAGCAAACCTCTCCTGTAAAGGGTCAGATAGTAAATATTTAAGGCTCTATGGGACATATGATTTCTATTAAAACTGTTCACTTCTGCAGTTATAGCCCCAAAGCAGCCATAGACATTATGTCAATGAATGCGACTATGTTCCAAAGAAACTATTGTACAAAAATAGAATTCGGCTGATGAGCCTCAGTTAATCAGTCACTGTTTTTAGTATGATTTATCACAATGCCTGCCAACTAATAGAAATATACATATGTATATATGTGTGTATATAAATCTGTGTGTGTGTGTATATATATATGTATGATAGTTCACATCTTCTGTTAATTCCACAAAATCATGTCAATCTTCTAGAAACAGGCCAGGCGCAGTGGCTCATGCCTGTAATCTCTGCACTTTGGGAAGCTGAGATCACTGGAAGTCAGGAGTTTGAGACCAACGTGGCCAAGATGGCAAAACCTCATCTCTAATAAAAAATATACAAAAATTAGCTGGGCATGGTGGTGCATGCCTGTAATCACAGCTACTTGGGAGGCTAAGGTTGGAGAATCGCTTGAACCCAGGAGACAGAGACTGCAGTGACTTGACATACCGCCACTGCACTCCAGCTTGGGTGATAGAGTGAGTAAGATTCTGTCTCAAAACAAAAAACAAAAACCAAAAAACAAAAACAAACAAAAAAAAACCAAATCTAGAAAACAATAAAGAGCAAATGTTTTTGACTGGAATTCAGCACAGAATAATATTCAGTTTGCTTTTGTTTCTCTGTAGATGTTTACACACACTTATAAAGCAACTTCAAACTTTTCTGTTTACTAAAAACTAAAGTTTCATCAAAAAGTTTAGTTTCCTGGGAAAATGGAAGTGCAGTTTGAATAGTCCATCTAATTATTAAATTTTCTTGATTACAGAAAGTGTAATTGCTCCTGGTTTGTTAATCTTATTTTTTTTAAAAAAGAAACATTTTCAGAATCACCTTTAATTCTACATTTTCCTTTGTTCAAATTATCTATCTTGAAAATAGAGAAAAACATATTCTCTTATACTGTAAGGACAAAATTTATTACTGAAATTGAGGATTATCAAAGATCCAGAGATGGTTTTCCAGAATGGTTTAGGATACAGGTTACCTTCCAATATCCTCACTGCCATTTACTGCCTGTGGGACCTTGAGCAAATTAGTTGTCTCTCTGTGTCTCAGTTTCTTCAGCTATAAAATGAAGTTAGTAATAATAGCTTACAAATAGAATTGCTATAAAAAGTCAATAAATTAATACATGAAGATCAACCACTTAGAACAGTGCTTGCTAAATAAAGATCACTCTATAAAAAGTGATTATTATCAAAATGTTTTAAATATTTATCTAAACAAATGTTCGCAGTGCAATCAATCTCAAAGCTACCAGCGCACTTTGAGATGCAGATTACTTTAAAGGACAAGCTCTAGTATTAGAAGAGGGCTTCAAAGTCCTGGGTTGGTTTCATCCTGGACATAGGAATACTTCATCCAATAACATCAAAAGCCCCTGTTCATTTTCAGTTGTCAGACCTACAGCACCTCCCACGGCAACTGGTATTATTTACATTTCAGCTTATATCTAGCAAGCAGAGTTGCATTTAAAGACATAAGTAACGTCGGCCGGGCGCGGTGGCTCACGCCTGTAATCCCAGCACTTTGGGAGGCAGAGACGGGCGGATCACGAGGTCAGCAGATCGAGACCATCCTGGTTAACACGGTGAAACCCCGTTTCTACTAAAAATACACAAAAAAATAGCCAGGCGTGGTGGCAGGCGCCTGTAGTCCCAGCTACTTGGGAGGCTGAGGCAGGAGAATGTCATGAACCCAGGAGGCGGAGCTTGCAGTGAGCCGAGATCGCGCCACTTCACTCCAGCCTGGGTGACAGAGTGAGACTCCATCTCAAAAAAAAAAAAAAAAAAGACATAAGTAATGTCTCTGAGTTTCAGATTCTTCATCTATAAAGTTAGGTTAATATTACTCACTTCAGAAGGGACTTGTGAGAAATAAAAGAAATATCTCATTCTTTACATTTTAATAGGGGTGTTTGAGGGGAACTTTTATGCTCCAGGAGAGGAAAGCATGGAAGGAAAACACACAGCTTTATTCCACCATCTTCCTACTATCCTTTCTGGGGATAGTGACTCACCTGTCTGGTGAAACTGGAGAAGGGGTTAAGTGTGTATGACTCCATCTCTTCTTTTCATGGAGCAGTCTGTTCTCTGAACCTAAGAGTTTTTCTGTTGTCCTTCCAAAAGCTATCTATTAAAGCAAGCAAGTCCTGTGATTGTTCAGCCCTGTCTGTGACTGTGGGGATGGAGAAGAATATTTGGTCACAGATCAAAGATTTGGTTTTATTTAGCTAATGTATACTAACTCCATGACTTCTTGCTGGTATTTAATTTGAGAAAAGGGCTATTGTTTAATGAACCTTTAAATCCCTAACAGTGAGAAATTAATATAATACTTTATGTGACTCTACAGTTACAAATGTTAAATTTGGTGTTACTTTAAAAATATCTTGCATTATAGTTTAACGAAATCTTTCTCTCCTCATTGTTTATTACAGATGGAGTAATATCTTTCAAAAATAATAAATGAAACCACTTATTAGCAGTAGAGGTTTCCTGGTTTCCAATCTCCACTGACTGTTTCTCAACCCACTGCCACACCCCTTATGCTACACACACACACACACACACACACACACACACACACACAAACTTCCTTCTCCGAATTGCCTCTAAATTTAGGAAGAAAGGCCATCAAGTGATTTTTCTATTTCTAAACTTTTAAGCTATATCTGCCCCAACACATTTTTAAATTTCTGTTCTAGTTCTGTAGTACATCTTCTCAGTTGGTTTCCTCCACCTGGACTTTAAATGCCACCCCTTCCCACATTTTTATGCATTTCATACTATTCATAACCCTCTTTTCATTAATTAAATCACCTATCCTACCTAGATACCAAAATTAACCAATTAAATAAACAACTGACCTTTGCATGCAAGATACAGATACTATATATCATAAAATTTTAAAAATCTAAAAATTATAAAGCTTGGCATTATCTGAAGGTCATAAAGCCCAAATTAAATGACAAGAGTAAAAATATTTTCAACATATTCCAATGAGCTACCGTCCTTAATTTATAGTTTTTAGAAATCAATAAGGAAAAATAAATAAAAAAATGGTTTTAGTATATGGATAGGTAGCTTTTAGGAAATATTGACATAATATTTACTATCTTACTCATAATTTTAAAACTACAAATTAAAATATTATGATGCCATTTTGATTCATAATATTATCAAAGTGCAAATGATTTAATAATACCATGAGTCGACAGAGAAATACAAGTGCTTTTCACTATATATTTTGTTCACCACTTAAATTATTTTTCATGATTATAAATTACATCTTTAGAGAGAAATAAAATGTTAATGTTAAAAAATCTCTCTTTACCTCATTTTCCCTTAAAATATACAGTTGACCCTTGAACAACGCAGGAGTTAGAGGCAACATCAGCTTACACAGTCAAATATCTACATATAACTTTTGACTCTCCTAAATCTTAACTACTAATGGCCTACTGTTGACCCAAATCCTTACAACTAACATAATCGTTGATTAACATGTATTTTTGTATGTTGTATGCATTATATACTGTATTCTTATAATAAAGTAAGCAAGAGGAAGAAATGTTATCAAGAAAATCATAGGGAAGAAAAATATATATTTACTATTCATTAAGTAGATGTGGATCATCATAAAGGTTTTCATCCTAATTGTCTTCATACTGTAGGCTGATGGGGAAGAGGAAGGGAAGGGGTTGGTCTTGCTGTTTCAGGGGTGGCAGTGGTGGAAGAGGCGGATGAGGTGGAAAGGGAGGCAGGAGAGGAAGGCACACTTAGTTTAACTTAACACATTTAAGGAAATGCATTTTTGCCTTTTTTTTCTTTTTCATTTCTCCAAAAATGTTTCTATACAGTACCAATCCTTCTTCCACTGTTAGCTTTAATTTCAGTCCCTGTATCATAGAAAGGATCATGTCATAAAAGAAGTCAAAAGCAGTCTTGAATAACTGAAACCCTCCTGCCAGATTATCTAATGTCAATTTGTTTTCTGTCACTACTTCTTCAACATCATCTTCCTCCTCATCTGGCACTGGTCCAAAAGCACTTATCTCCATCAAAGTCATCTTCTGTTAATTCTTGTAGTGTGATGTCTGTTAGCTCTTGAATTTCTCCAAGATCCATATTCTGAAACCCTTCACCCCCACCTTTTCTTTTTTATACCCATGATCTCATGATTTCCTTGACTGGCTCTATCATAAATATTGTGAAGTGATACATAAAATCTGGAAACAGTTTTCTTCAGCAGGAATTTATTGTATCAGGCTTGATGGCTTTCAGGGCTTTTTCCATAACAACAGTTGTATCTTCAGTGGTATAATTTTTCCAGACTTTCATGATGTTGTCTCTATTCGGATCCTCTTCAAACCATTGACGATCCTTTCCATAGAGTACTGTGTGTATTGAGCCTTTATAGTCCTTATGACCCCTAATCTAGAGGCTGAATTAGAGACTTTTTGTCTGGAGGCAAGTAGATACTTTCCATGTTGAACTCATGAGGTTCTGGGTGGCAAGGGGCATTGCTCAATAGCAAAGGAACTTTATAAGGCAGTCCTTCCTAGCCAGGTACTTCATGATTTCAGGGACAAAGTGCTGATGGACACAATCAAGGAAAATAGCTCTAAATGTCCAGGTCTTCTTCTTGTACAACCAAAAGACTGGTAGCTGATGTTTATCTTTTCCCTTCAATGCTAGGAGATTAGCAACTGTGTAGATAAGAAAAGTCATGATCATAATAAACCTGACTGTATTGTCACAAAACAGGAGGGTTAGCTTACTCCTTCCTGCCTTAAATCCTAGTGCTCACTTCTCTTCTTTACTAATAAATGTTCTTTGTGGTATTTTTCTGTACAGAATAGAGCACTTTGACACACATTAAAAACCTGTTGCAGCAAATATTCCTTCTCCTCAGTGGTTTTCTTAATGGTGTCTTGGAACTTGTCTGCTGCTTCTTGGGCAACAGAAGCTGTTTTTCTTATTATCTTGACAATTTTTAAGCCAAATATCTTTGTAAAATTATCAAACCATCCTTTGCTAACACTAAATTCTCCAGCTTTAGATCCTTCACCTTCCTTTTGAGTAAGTCATCTTTAATGACTTTTCTTTTTCTTGAATAATATTAGACTCTATATGTATGCCTTTGTTATACCCAATCCTACACCTACATAAAAGCTGCATGTTCAAAATTACATAAAAAGGTATTTCCCCAGAAGAGCAAGTTTTCACATCTGCTGGTGTAGCCACAGGGATGGCTTCATACGTTTCCTTTTCTTTCATTACGTTGGTCTTTCCTTATGCTGGATTTGTTTATCTTGAAATGAAGGGCATCTGCAGCTGCAGACCTGAATCCACAGTACATATTAAGCAACTCAACTTTTTCTTGTAATATCATGACTTTTCTCTTCGTCTTGGGAGCAGTTTCAGCACCACTACTGACACCTTTGCTCCCATGGTGTTATTTAAGGTTCACAGTATTGCAAAAGACATGATAAAAAATGTGCAATAATCAGGAACAATCACTTTTCACTGTGATGTGTGATTTAGTGGTGAAATGAACAGTTCACAGGGAGATGATTAGCCTCAAACTGTGATTTAAGCAGATACTCACAATACTTGAGACCATTGCAATATCAATAGGAGGTGGCTTTGAAATTACTACAGTAGTACAACATGTACTACAGTTAATTTTATGTAGTTATGATTTAATAGTAAATCTTTGTTTTCTCTTAATCAGGAATGGCTCACAAGTGTGCACAAAAGTTTTGAAAAATTTTAACTTTTTATAATAGATTGGTGTAGATTTTATGGTAGTAAATGATAAAATAGTATATGTAAATATTATATTCATTTATCACACATATTTTCTTATTTTTAAAAAAATATTCCTCTCCCTCTCCCTCTCTCCCTCTCCCCACGGTCTCCCTCTCCCTCTCTTTCCACGGTCTCCCTCTGATGCCGAGCGGAAGCTGGACTGCGCTGCCGCCATCTCGGCTCACTGCAACCTCCCTGCCTGATTCTCCTGCCTCAGCCTGCGAGTGCCTGCGACTGCAGGCGTGTGCCGCCGCGCCTGACTGGTTTTCGTATTTTTTTGGTGGAGACAGGGTTTCGCTGTGTTGGCCGGGCTGGTCTCCAGCTCCTAACCGCGAGTGATCCGCCAGCCTCGGCCTCCTGAGGTGCCGGGATTGCAGACGGAGTCTCGTTCACTCAGTGCTCAATGTTGCCCAGGCTGGAGTGCAGTGGTGTGATCTCGGCTTGCTACAACCTCCACCTCCCAGCCACCTGCCTTGGCCTCCCAAAGTGCTGAGATTGCAGCCTCTGCCTGGCCGCCACCCCGTCTGGGAAGTGAGGAGCGTCTCTGCCTGGCCGCCCATCATCTGGGATGTGAGGAGCCCCTCTGCCTGGCTGCCCAGTCTGGGAAGTGAGGAGCGCCTCTTCCCGGCCACCATCCCCTCTAGGAAGTGAGGAGCGTCTCTGCCCCGCCGCCCATAGTCTGAGATGTGGCGAGCGCCTCTGCCCCACCACCCCGTCTGGGATGTGAGGAGCGCCTCTGCCTGGCCGCAACCCCGTCTGGGAGGTGAGGAGCGTCTCTGCCCGGCCGCCCCGTCTAAGAAGTGAGGAGCCCCTCCACCCAGCAGCCGCACCATTTGGGAAGTGAGGAGCATCTCCGCCCGGCAGCCGCCCCGACCGGGAGGTGGGGGGCAGCCCCCGCCCGGCCAGCCGCCCTATCCAGGAGGGAGGTGGGGGCAACACCCACCTGGCCAGCCGCCCCGTCCAGGAGGGAGGTGGGGGGTAGCCCCTGCCCGGCAGCCACCCCGTCCGGGAGGTGGGGGACAACCCCCGCCCCGGCCAGCCTCCCTGTCCGGGAGGTGGGGGGCAGCCCCCGCCCAGCCAGCCGCTCCATCCAGGAGGGAGGTGGCGGGCAGCCCACACCTGGCCGGCCGCCCATCCGGGAGTTGTGGGGCGCCTCTGCCCGGCTGCCGCCCTGTCCGGGAGGTGGGGGGAGCCTCTGCCCGGCCACCCCATCTGGGAAGTGAGGAGCCCCTCTGCCCGGCCACCACCCCATCTGGGAGGTGTACCCAACGGCTCATTGAGAACGGGCCATGATGATGATGGCAGTTTTGTCCAATAGAAAAGGGGGAAATGTGGGGAAAAGATAGAGAGATTGGATTGGTGCTGTGTCTGTGCAGAAAGAAGTAGACATGGGGGACTCCATTTTGTTCTGTACTGGGAAAAATTCTTCTGCCTTGGGATGCTGTTAATCTATAACCTTACCCCCAACCCCGTGCTCTCTGAAACATGTGCTGTGTCCACTCAGGGTTAAATGGATTAAGGGTGGTGCAGGATGTGCTTTGTTAAACAGATGCTTGAAGGCAGCATGCTCGTTAAGAGTCATTACCACTCCCAACTTCCCCAATCTAGCAAGGCAGGCCAACGTTCAGATTCAGGAAATACAGAGAATGCCACAAAGATACTCCTCAAGAAGAGCAACTCCAAGACACATAATTGTCAGATTCACCAAAGTTGAAGTGAAGGAAAAAATGTTAAGGGCAGCCAGAGAGAAAGGTCGGGTTACCCTCAAAGGAAAGCCCATCAGACTAACAGCGGATCTCTCGGCAGAAACCCTACAAGCCAGAAGAGAGTGGGGGCCAATATTCAACATTCTTAAAGAAAACAATTTTCAACCCAGAATTTCATATCCAGCCAAACTAAGCTTCATAAGTGAAGGAGAAATAAAATACTTTATAGACAAGCAAATGCTGAGAGATTTTGTCACCACCAGGCCTGCCCTAAAAGAGCTCCTGAAGGAAGCGCTAAACATGGAAAGGAACAACCGGTACCAGCCGCTGCAAAATCATGCCAAAATGTAAAGACCATCGAGACTAGGAAGAAACTGCATCAACTAATGAGCAAAATCACCAGCTAACATCATAATGACAGGATCAAATTCACACATAACAATATTAACTTTAAATATAAATGGACTAAATTCTGCAATTAAAAGACACAGACTGGCAAGTTGGATAAAGAGTCAAGACCCATCAGTGTGCTGTATTCAGGAAACCCATCTCACGTGCAGAGACACACATAGGCTCAAAATAAAAGGATGGAGGAAGATCTACCAAGCCAATGGAAAACAAAAAAAGGCAGGGGTTGCAATCCTAGTCTCTGATAAAACAGACTTTAAACCAACAAAGATCAAAAGAGACAAAGAAGGCCATTACATAATGGTAAAGGGATCAATTCAACAAGAGGAGCTAACTATCCTAAATATTTATGCACCCAATACAGGAGCACCCAGATTCATAAAGCAAATCCTCAGTGACCTACAAAGAGACTTAGACTCCCACACATTAATAATGGGAGACTTTAACACCCCACTGTCAACATTAGACAGATCAACGAGACAGAAAGTCAACAAGGATACCCAGGAATTGAACTCAGTTCTGCACCAAGCAGACCTAATAGACATCTACAGAACTCTCCACCCCAAATCAACAGAATATACATTTTTTTCAGCACCACACCACACCTATTCCAAAATTGACCACATAGTTGGAAGCAAAGCTCTCCTCAGTAAATGTAAAAGAACAGAAATTATAACAAACTATCTCTCAGACCACAGTGCAATCAAACTAGAACTCAGGATTAAGAATCTCACTCAAAGCCGCTCAACTACATGGAAACTGAACAACCTGCTCCTGAATGACTACTGGGTACACAACGAAATGAAGGCAGAAATAAAGATGTTCTTTGAAACCAACGAGAACAAAGACACCACATACCAGAATCTCTGGGACGCATTCAAAGCAGTGTGTAGAGGGAAATTTATAGCACTAAATGCCTACAAGAGAAAGCAGGAAAGATCCAAAATTGACACCCTAACATCACAATTAAAAGAACTAGAAAAGCAAGAGCAAACACATTCAAAAGCTAGCAGAAGGCAAGAAATAACTAAAATCAGAGCAGAACTGAAGGAAATAGAGACACAAAAAACCCTTCAAAAAATCAATGAATCCAGGAGCTGGTTTGTTGAAAGGATCAACAAAATTGATAGACCGCTAGCAAGACTAATAAAGAAAAAAAGAGAGAAGAATCAAATAGACACAATAAAAAATGATAAAGGGGATATCACCACCGATCCCACAGAAATACAAACTACCATCAGAGAATACTACAAACACCTCTACGCAAAAAAACTAGAAAATCTAGAAGAAATGGATACATTCCTCGACACATACACTCTCCCAGGACTAAACCAGGAAGAAGTTGAATCTCTGAAAAGACCAATAACAGGCTCTGAAATTGTGGCAATAATCAATAGTTTACCAACCAAAAAGAGTCCAGGACCAGATGGATTCACAGCCGAATTCTACCAGAGGTACAAGGAGGAAATGGTACCATTCCTTCTGAAACTATTCCAATCAATAGAAAAAGAGGGAATCCTCCCTAACTCATTTTATGAGGCCAGCATCATTCTGATACCAAAGCCGGGCAGAGACACAACCAAAAAAGAGAATTTTAGACCAATATCCTTGATGAACATTGATGCAAAAATCCTCAATAAAATACTGGCAAACCAAATCCAGCAGCACATCAAAAAGCTTATCCACCATGATCAAGTGGGCTTCATCCCTGGGATGCAAGGCTGGTTCAATATACGCAAATCAATAAATGTAATCCAGCATATAAACAGAGCCAAAGACAAAAACCACATGATTATCTCAATAGATGCAGAAAAAGCCTTTGACAAAATTCAACAACCCTTCATGCTAAAAACTCTCAATAAATTAGGTATTGATGGGACGTATTTCAAAATAATAAGAGCTATCTATGACAAACCCACAGCCAATATCATACTGAATGGGCAAAAACTGGAAGCATTCCCTTTGAAAACTGGCACAAGACAGGGATGCCCTCTCTCACCACTCCTATTCAACATAGTGTTGGAAGTTCTGGCCAGGGCAATCAGGCAGGAGAAGGAAATAAAGGGTATTCAATTAGGAAAAGAGGAAGTCAAATTGTCCCTGTTTGCAGACGACATGATTGTTTATCTAGAAAACCCCATCGTCTCAGCCCAAAATCTCCTTAAGCTGATAAGCAACTTCAGCAAAGTCTCAGGATACAAAATCAATGTACAAAAATCACAAGCATTCTTATACACCAACAACAGACAAACAAAGAGCCAAATCATGGGTGAACTCCCATTCACAATTGCTTCAAAGAGAATAAAATACCTAGGAATCCAACTTACAAGGGATGTGAAGGACCTCTTCAAGGAGATCTACAAACCACTGCTCAAGGAAATAAAAGAGGACACAAACAAATGGAAGAACATTCCATGCTCATGGGTAGGAAGAATCAATATCGTGAAAATGGCCATACTGCCCAAGGTAATTTACAGATTCAATGCCATCCCCATCAAGCTACCAATGACTTTCTTCACAGAATTGGAAAAAACTACTTTAAAGTTCATATGGAACCAAAAAAGAGCCCGCATTGCCAAGTCAATCCTAAGCCAAAAGAACAAAGCTGGAGGCATCACACTACCTGACTTCAAACTATACTACAAGGCTACAGTAACCAAAACAGCATGGTACTGGTACCAAAACAGAGATATAGATCAATGGAACAGAACAGAGCCCTCAGAAATAATGCCGCATATCTACAACTATCTGATCTTTGACAAACCTGAGAAAAACAAGCAATGGGGAAAGGATTCCCTATTTAATAAATGGTGCTGGGAAAACTGGCTAGCCATATGTAGAAAGCTGAAACTGGATCCCTTCCTTACACCTTATACAAAAATCAATTCAAGATGGATTAAAGATTTAAACATTAGACCTAAAACCATAAAAATCCTAGAAGAAAACCTAGGCATTACCATTCAGGACATAGGCGTGGGCAAGGACTTCATGTCCAAAACACCAAAAGCAATGGCAACAAAAGACAAAATTGACAAATGGGATCTAATTAAACTAAAGAGCTTCTGCACAGCAAAAGAAACTACCATCAGAGTGAACAGGCAACCTACAACATGGGAGAAAATTTTCGCAACCTACTCATCTGACAAAGGGCTAATATCCAGAATCTACAATGAACTCAAACAAATTTACAAGAAAAAAACAAACAACCCCATCAAAAAGTGGGCGAAGGACATGAACAGACACTTCTCAAAAGAAGACATTTATGCAGCCAAAAAACACATGAAGAAATGCTCATCATCACTGGCCATCAGAGAAATGCAAATCAAAACCACTATGAGATATCATCTCACACCAGTTAGAATGGCAATCATTAAAAAGTCAGGAAACAACAGGTGCTGGAGAGGATGCGGAGAAATAGGAACACTTTTACACTGTTGGTGGGACTGTAAACTAGTTCATCCATTGTGGAAGTCAGTGTGGCGATTCCTCAGGGATCTAGAACTAGAAATACCATTTGACCCAGCCATCCCATTACTGGGTATATACCCAAATGACTATAAATCATGCTGCTATAAAGAGACATGCACACGTATGTTTATTGTGGCATTATTCACAATAGCAAAGACTTGGAACCAACCCAAATGTCCAACAATGATAGACTGGATTAAGAAAATGTGGCACATATACACCATGGAATACTATGCAGCCATAAAAAATGATGAGTTCATATCCTGTGTAGGGACATGGATGAAAATGGAAACCATCATTCTCAGTAAACTATCGCAAGAACAAAAAACCAAACACCGCATATTCTCACTCATAGGTGGGAATTGAACAATGAGATCACATGGACACAGGAAGGGGAATATCACCCTCTGGGGACTGTGGTGGGGTCGGGGGAGGGGGGAGGGATGGCATTGGGAGATATACCTAATGCTAGATGACACATTAGTGGGTGCAGGGCACCAGCATGGCACATGTATACATATGTAACTAACCTGCACAATGTGCACATGTACCCTAAAACTTAGAGTATAATAAAAAAAAAAAAAAAAAAAGAAAGTAAATTGGTAGAGAACAGGATGTGGCACCACGGAATTAGGGGAAGTTAGGGGAAGTAGTAGTAGAGGAGGGTGAAAATGATCAGTTCAGTTTTGGGTATAATGAGTTTAAGATACTTGTGGAACATTGAAATGAGGATTTCCAGCTGGCTCTTACATCAAATGGCTTGGAAATATCTAAGTTCTATGTTTGGTTGTAGTATGTTGCACTGTAGACCCAAGCAAAGAATGTGTGTGCATGTGGATATGAACCAACAGTACTGCATGCGGTTCTGGTATTGAATTTCAGGCTTTCATTAGTCTTTTTTATTTAATTTTTTTTTTAGCCAGAGGTGACTAAAGGAAATGTCTCTTTAACTGTAGGCAGATATTTCTTATTATTTGTTATTCTTTTCTCTAATGATTAGAGAAATAATAATAATGGCCAACACATATTGAATATCTGCTGGAAGGCAAGCCTTATCTCACTGTACCTAAATTACTTTATTTAATCTTTATGAGTACCATGTGAGGTAGCTACTATTATTATTATCCACATTTCATACCAAATGTGGATAATAATAATCATAAGATGGAGGGAGGTAGTGTAACCTGCTCCAGATCACTTTGCTAAAAAGTGGCAGAACTGGGATTCAAACCTAGACAGTCTGTTGTGTTAAAGTCTATCTCAAGAATTTGAAATTCAGGTTAAACTTGGCTCCATTAAAGCATTAAAGGAGGTTGCTCGTCAGGAATGCCTTTTCCTTCCTTTTCAGTAGGGTCAAAGTTCTGCTCTGGGACCATGTATCTCCTTCCCAGTTCCTTAGGGTATTTCCTGGTGCCTGTCCCACTATTCCCTTTGGCGATGAAGTGTATCTTCCACATGAGCTGACTTGAAAATCCTCTCCCATTTGCAAAAACATAGACTCAAAGAAATTTTCTGTGTAGCACTTTTAAACATGCCTCCGTAGCTATAAATTGGCTTTTCTTCTTTTTTGGTTCAGGATTGTACTTCTGTGTTATAACTCCCTTTTATATGTCTTAAAAGAAGTTATCAATCATCTTCATGTTTACCGTTGTGTCTCTCACAAGAAAGTGTTGCATTACCTGAAGGAAGCGACCTTGGCATTTTCTTCTGTCTTCCCATAGGATGCTGTTCTTTGAGATCTCAATAAAGATGGCATCTGGTTCCCTTAAAACAAAAAAAAAAAAAAAAAAAAAGAGTCATTACCACTCCCTGGTCTCAAGTACCCAGGGACACAAACACTGCGGAAGGTCGCAGGGTCCTCTGCTTAGGAAAACCAGAGACCTTTGTTCACTTGTTTATCTGCTGACCTTCCCTCCACTATTGTCCTGTGACCCTGCCAAATCCCCCTCTGTGAGAAACACCCAAGAATGATCAATAAATACTAAAAAAAAAAAAAAAAAAAAAAAAAAAAAAAAAATTCCTAGGCAACATGGTTTGTCTGTGAGTTTGTCCAAATTATTGCAAATCTCAAAAATAAATTTCAACCTATCAACTGAAAAAAAATATGTAAATGGAGACCTGCACAGTTCAAACTCATGTTGTTCAAGGGTGAACTGTAGATTTCATTCTTCATTCCTTATTAGTTCAACTTCCCAAAATACTGGCTTATATGTCATGGGTTCACTTTCTCACCTTCTACTCACTTCTTAGCTACTTCATTGTTAATCTGCTTTTATTACTCTATTCAGCCATGTCTTGTTAAATTGCCAGTTCTCTCCACCTCAATAAATCCAAATGGCCATTTCAGTGTTATTTTCACTTGATCTCCTAAATTCAGTTGACACTGGTGTCTTGCCTGTAAATACTCTCTTCCATTGGCTTGGATGACACAACACTCTTGGTTTCCCATCTACATCTCTGGATTTGCCTGTTCCTGTCTCCGATTTAGAGTTCATCTTTTTTTTTCAACCTAAATGCTGAGGTCCCTCAAAGATAATTTCTTAGAATTCCTCTCTTAATTTTAACAAACACGTCCTTGATTTGCTATTATCCTGATGATTCTCTCAGTTCTATTTACAGCCTATATATCTCTTCTGAGCTCTCAACTTACATATTCTCCTACCTAGTAGACTACTTTATCTTTGAAATGTACCTGAACTCCACTTCTCCAAAACTGAACTCATGATCTGCTCTTTACTTCATATCTGACATTTCCCAATGACCTCAGTAAAGGTACTATCATTCCTATTGTTAACTTTTATCCCACATTACAAATTGATGACACTGAATGGCCCAGTAGAAGAAAATTATGGACATGCGTTTTTATTGCACTTGATTTTATTGTAACTCCACAGATATTGCATTTTTTACAAATTGAAGGTTTGTGGCATCTCTGTCCTACACATCTGTTGGCACTATTTTTCCAATAGCATGGTCTCATTTTGTGTAATTTTGTTAATTCTCACAATATTTCAAACTTTTTCATTATTATTATATCTGTTATGGTGATCTGTAATCAGTGATCTTTTTTGCTTATATTATTATTTCAATTTACATGATAATTGTACACATTTATGGCATACAGTGTGATATTTCCATAAATGTATACAATATATAAGGATCAAATCAGGGTAATAAACGTATCCATCACCTCAGACATTTATTATTTCTTTGTGTTAGGAACACGCTACTGTTGTAATTGGTTTGGGGCATCACAAACTGCCCACATAAGACCGTAATGAGGGTGGTACGTTCTGATTGTCCTACCCACTGGCTGTACTTCCGTCTCTCTCCCTCTCCTCAGGCCTCCCTATCCCTAGAGACACAACAGTATTAAAATTAGGCTAATTAATAGCCCTACAATGGCTAAATGCTCAAGTGAAAGGAAGAATTGTAAGTCTCTAACTTTAAATCAAAAGCTTTTGATTTAAAAGCTTTAAATCAAAATCAACAAGAAATGATTATACTTAATGAGGAAGGTATGGTGGAAGCAAATATAGGCCAAAAATTAGGCCTGTTGCAAAAAACAGCCAAGTTGTGAATATACAGAAATGATAAGAAAGAGAAACAGCCTTATTGCTGATATGGAGAAAGTTTTCATGGTCTTGATAGAAGATCAAGTCAGCCACAACATTCTTGTAAACCAAAATTGTAATCAAGAGCAAGACCTTAACTCTCTTTAATCCTATAAAGGCTGAGAGAGGGGAGGAAGTTACAGAAGATGTGTAAAGCTAGCAGAGGTTATTTCGTGAGGTTGAAGGAAGGAAACTGTCTCTATAACATCAAAGTGCTGGGTGAAGCAGCAAGTGCAGACTGATAGAGAAGCTTCAACAACATATTTTCGATGTAGACAAAACAGCCTTTTTTTGGAAGAAGATGCCATCTAACACTTTCTCAGCTAGAGAGGAGAAGTCAAGGCCTTGCTTCAGATTGTCAAAGGACAGGCTAACTCTTCTATGAGGAGATAATAAAACTGGTGACTTGAAGTGGAAGCCAATAATCATTTCCATTCTGAGAAGACTAGGAAACTTATGAATTATGTTACACGTATTACTGTGTTCTAAAAATGAAAAAACAAAGCCTGGGTGACAACACATCTCTTTACAACATGGTTTACTGAATATTTTAAGTCTACTTCTGAGAATTACTACTCACACACATATATATATATACAAAAATCCCTTCAAAATACTACTGCTAATAATTGACAATGTGCCCGGCCAGCCCGGAGGTCTGATGGAGACATACATGGAGTTTAATGTTGTTTACGTACCTGCTAACACAATATCCATTCTGCAGCCTATGAATCAACAAGTAATTTTGACTCTCATGTCTTATTATTTCTAAAATACATTTCATAAAGCCGTAACTGTCATAGATGGTAATCCCTCAGATGGATATGGGCAAAGTAAGTTGGAAACCTTCTGGAAAGGATTCACCATTCTAGGTGTCATTAAGAACATTCATGAGTCATGAGAGAAGGTCAAAATATCAACAACAGGAGTTTGGAAGAAGTGATTCCAACCCTCATGGATGACTTTGAGGTGTTCCAATACTTCCAGTCAAGGAAGTAACTGAAGATGTAATGAAAAGAGCAGGAGAACTAGAATTAGAAAGTGAGTTCAAAGATGGCACTGAACTTCTACAATCTCATGATAAATCTTAAATGGATGAGGAATTGCTTCTTATAGATCAGCAAAGAAAGTGGTTTCTTGAGGCGGAATATACTCTGGTGAAGTTGCTATCAGCATTGTTGAAATGACAACAAAGAATTTAGAATATTACGTATACTTAGTAGACTTAAAACTGACTCCAGTTTTAAGAGCAGTTCTAACGCAGGTAAAATGTCATCAAACAACATTTCACACTACAGATAAATACCACTTCCTTTTGTGAAAGGAAGACTCATTTGATGTGGCAAACTTCATTGTTGTCTTATTTTAAGAAATTGCCACAGCCACCGCCACCTTCAGCAATTGCCACCCTAATCAGTCAGCAGCCATCAACATTGAGGCAAGACCCTCAACTAGCAAAAAGAATCTAACCCACTGAAGGCTCAGATGATCAGTTGCTTTTTTTTTTAGCAATAAAGTATATTTGAATTAAGATTTATGTATTTTTAGACATAATTCTATTGTGCACTTATTAGGCTACAGTATAGTATAAACATAACTTTTTTTTTTTTTTGAGACAGAGTCTCGCTCTGTTGCCCAGGCTGGAGCGCAGTGGCGCAATCTCGGCTCACTGCAACCTCCGCCTCCCGGGTTCGCACCATTCTCCTGCCTCAGCCTCCAGAGTAGCTGGGACTACAGGCGCACGCAGCCACACCTGGCTAATTTTTTGTATTTTTAGTAGAGATAGGGTTTCACCGTGTTAGCCAGGATGGTCTTGATCTCCTGACTTCGTGATCTGCAAGCCTCTGCCTTCCAAAGTGCTGGGATTACAGGTGTGAACCACCGCGCCCGGCCCACTTTTTATATGAATTGGGAAAACAAAACATTTGTGTGATTTTTACTGTGATACTGTTTTATTGTGGTGGTCTGAAATCAAACGCACATTTTCTCCAAGGAATGCCTGTATACTTGTTTGAAAATGACTTAATTTGGAATAGACATTCTTGCTACATATAAAGATAAAGAATAATATTTACCTCTGGGGAATAGCCACTATCATAGTTTGACTAGAAAAACTGTAATTTCATTGGCAAGGATATTTCTTACAGTAAGTTCTTATCATTTCCATTTTGAAAAATATTGATGTAGATTGACCTCTCACTAAGAAATGCTACTTGTAATCCTCAAGTACTTTTGAAATTTAAGTACATTTCATTTTTGTGGCTTTGTAATCATCATCGTATTAAAGAATATTCTCAAATTATTTAAATAAAGTTAATTATAGATCAAATGAAACTATCTTTCAGTAGTTAATTTGCTAAAAACTAGTTGTTTCCAAGTCTTATTTAAATTTCTAACTTTTAAATAATGTATTTCAAGTAATTCTTTCCCAGATCTAGAACTAAGACAGTGTATTCATTCTATAAAATAAGCCCCTTAAGAAATGCCATTACTGTTCAGATTATTGATCTCAGCCTGCTGTCAGAGCCAAAGTGTTTAGCAAGACTATTTCAGGGACCTGAACAGGATATTTTTATTGGCAATGAGACAGCAGATTACCTACAGCTCAAATGGAAAGACCTAATGGCCAGGTGTGTATCATTCTAACATTCTATTGATGTGCAGTGCAGATGGTGAGACGTGCTGATGGATGAGGTTGTCTCAGCGGCAGAGTTGTCTTAGTCCTGCCAAGCACTTAAGTTGAACGACCTATTAAACATGGTTGACCTAAGGCAGTTGGAGATATTTATAAGTAACTACAGCTATTAAATGTGGACCTTCTAGTAGGCTCTAAATATAGCCTTTTTTTTTTTTCCACATAGCTTTGACTTCTAGTTCCTAAAGCCATTCATTCAAGTTGAATTGGGGAAGAGAAGGAGCAAAAAGAGAGATTTGCAGAATATTTGTAAACAAAATAACACTGGAATACTGAAAGAAGTTATAGCATGAACTAAATAAAAATTTTCAGGAGGTAACATTGATATGAAATACTAATTTAAATTAAAAATTTGAATTATCTAAAATTTTTTAAAAATAAACTCAGGTTCTATGTAGAACCTAGGGTTTGCTATCAAATAATAACTTTCCCTCTGTTTCTACTCTACAGAAGACAAGTTAGTAGAAAAGTACACTGGATTCTAAGTTATGGTAGTTGGGTAATTGTGTCATCCACATTTTGGAGGTGTCAGTTTCCTCATTTGTAAAATTAGAGTTAGTAGATGTAAACTTTTTCTTACAAACTATTAACTTTTGCTTTTCTGTTCCATTTCACACATCAATATTTATTGAGTCTTACTTAGAACTCCTGTGTATAAAATAGAATAGTACTTAATATTTAGGTTCTTAGATATGGGTTTTTTCATAACACTTATATGACCTTCTATCTAACTAATCTGTAAGTATCATAAGGTCAATAATTATTGTTTTTTTGCTCATTTATTTATTTCAAGCACTTTTACATATAGTAAACACCTAACATTTGTCAAATAATGATTAAATGAAACAACACGTGTAAAGTGCTTAGCACAGTAATTGGCACAAAGTATTTGATAAATGGTCCTATAAATGGTTCTGATAAGTGGTTTTATTAACACCCACAGTGCCATCTCACTAAGATAGTTGGAAGAAGTTGGGATATTTCAAAGAGAAGTTGGAGAGTACTGAGGACCACACTGTTGTTCCCAAATATTTGAAAGAGCATCACATGTTACTTTTAAAGAAAAAAAAATGGGCCAAGAGGCAGAAACTACAGGGAGACAGTTTTAAAATTTGGAGTAAGGAAGACCTAACAAAACTGCTCAAAAATGAAATGATGTTCAAGTAAATGTCGAATTACTAAATAGCCAGTTAATGGGGGGATAAAAGAAATCTAACTAGAGGCTATAAATTTAGTATTCCATGAATTAAACGATATGGAAAGAACTCTATGTTTATCATATACAAAATAAATCTTAAAATACCCAAAATATAAAATTTTGCAATGCTTCTGGAAATAAAATCATACATGGAAAATGGCAAATATTGTAAAAGCCAATCTATTTACTTAGTGTACATGGGATCAAAGAACAATTTGCTTTTTGGCAAATACACCATATGACTGAAAACAAATGCTGCTGATTTTTCTTATTAATGCTTGCAAATGGAGCAGATAGGAATCATGGAATTCTTTATTCCCTATCAGAAAAACAGAACTACTTAAAGCCAGATTTTTTTTCTTTTCTGTTCTTTTTACTGCAGTGGTAACACTGCACTTCAGAATACAATATAAGAATATTGGCAGTTGGCATGTTCGTGGGTTGTCTGAAACTAACTGGTGCATTATTCCTGCCAAGTAGCAATGATTTTGACAAAATGTATGACATTGATAAAAAAGGAATCTCACTCAATATCATTTTTATTGAAGGATGTATGACCTCATACCAAAATAGCCCCATCAATCTATTGCCATCAGATCAGACAGAAAAGAATTGGGTACATAAAATGGCTGTCATAAAATATATCTCAGCTGCAGCTAAGTCTGATCACAGATGGTCAGTTAAGCATTTGGAAAATGAAGGAAGTATGTTTCCCTTAATAAGCCATCAAAAGTTAATAACAAGTGACTTGGCTCTCTATTTGGGGCAGAAATCCTGAGAAAGATGCAGTGGTTTCTAAGGTTTTTGCTGTTCTTTATATTGGCTACATGTTAATAAAAAGATATACGGTACATAATGTTTTAAAGGTATGCAATGAAGAAGCAGCTTCCCTACCACTTATGACTTCCAGGGTTACCATCTCAAAAGTGCACCTCATTCACACATTCAAAACTACAGTGTTGTCTTACTAATTATGATAGTCAATTTTATGTGTCTAGTGCCTGGGCTATGAGTAGTGCCCAGACATTTTAACAGACATTATTCTGCCTGTTTCTGTGAGATTGTTCTGGATGAGATTAACGTTTGAAGCAGTAAACTGAGTAAAGCAGATAGCCCTCTCTAATATGGATGGACTTCAAACAATCAACTGAAGACCTGAATAGTATTAAAAGGCTAAGAGGTAATGTTTTTTGCCTGATAGCATGAGATGGACATTGGTCTTTTTCAGCCTTCAGACTTGGACTGAAACATTGGCTCATCTTGAATTGCAAGCCTACCAACTTTCAGACTGCAACTTAATATTATCAACTCTCATGGTTCTAAAACCTTTGGACTTGGATTGAAACTACACATTGGCTCTCTTGGGTCTTTAATCACATGAACCAATTCCTTGTAGTAAATCTCATATGTGTATATATATACATATGTATACACACACACACACAAATTTATACATACGTATATATATGTGCAGGACACATATATGAATATTTTTTATTATATATGTATAAACTTTTGGTTTTATTTCTCTGGAGAATTTGACTAATACACTGATTCAGCCACAACAACAGGGAGTGTGCTGAGTTGTGTCAATCAAGTGAATTATCCAGATAATTAAAGTCAATCTCTGTAGATGCTAGTATTTTAGTATCTTGTCTAGAAACAATGTAGGTCACCAGACACCTACATTTTTGTGATATAAAATAACAAGCCAATTTTCTAATGCTTTAAAAATGTGCCCTGAAAGTAATCCCTCACTTTCAAACCCAAAATTCTATGATTCTACATTATAAACCAAGCTCATGTAGTCATTCTCAAAATCAGTTTTAAAAGCAACTGTGAGTTTGAGTCATGTTTACTTTCCAAGTGAATTACTCAAGGATATAAAAATCCATTTCATTACCTTACAGTCATGGTTTTTAGGACTTAAAGATGCATCATCTTCATTTGTTGATTCCTTTTACTATTAATCAGCACATGGCGGATCTACTTATTTCCCATGATTTTCTCCAGGCACAGGTGCATTATGAAATTTAAGCTCTATTTCCACTGCACAGACTAAGCTTTGAAAGAATTTTTTATTGTACACTAAAAGCTACCCTTCGGTGCTGCCAAATTCCTGGTATTAACTCCATGTAAATTTTCTTATCATCACTCACCTGCCCAGAAGCAGAAATTCTCCCACTAGACCCAGGCGCCTCATGGCCATCAGCAGACCTCTCACCGTCATGCCCTCACAGAAGTAGGCCACCACCCGGGCCTTGGGCAAGTGACTTGTGAGCTTCTTCAGCAGCTTATCAAAGCTCTGCTCCCCTGCATTACTGTAGATTTTGTAAGAGTGGGCGATGCAAATCCCTTCCTTCGCTGACATATCTTTGAAGGCTTCCATCCCACTTTCTCCATAGTTGCCTGTGTGAAAACATAGATAAGCAGAGGGATAGTGAAATGAGAGTGTTGCATTAATTGGGTATAATCAGAATGCAGGTGTTAGGAGCATGAAAGTCATTGGTATGGGACTTGCAACCTGAAGACCTGAATTTTGGTTTTTGATCTTTTGCTGAATTGCTTATTTTGGGCAAATTACAATTGAACCACATTATATATGCATTGATCATTTATATTTTCACTGTGATGGAGAGAATAATATAAACAGTGTAAGCAATTCATCATCCTTTTATGACTCAAAATAGCTCTTATTCTAAATATGAGTTGATGGAAATATTTATCTGCTTTTTTTTTTGCATTCTATCTCACTTCCCTTTATTTCTCATTGATGACAATTTCATCCCACTGAGATTTTTGTATTTAAAGCTATAGTACATACAAGTAATACATGTAGTTTATATAGTATATATGTTGCCATATAAATATTTTATAAAGTATTATACTATATATAATATTCAGTATATTATATACTTATAATCATGAGAATTTATGGTTTGGTCTTAAATGAAAAACTGAGATCCTTGCTTAAGATTTAGTCTTGCCACAGATGAATGTGTAAACTTATGAAAAACATTTACAGTTTTATCCTATACAACCATGGGGAAGTTATTGATAAGGATAAAAAGTTCAAAGTCTTTTGCAAAATTTGGGGACTAAGGACTAATGTTAGTCTTTTAAAATTAATGAAAAAGGGGGATTAATATTGACAGTCAGCTATATGCCAGGACACAAGGACCTTTATATATGTGATCTAATTTAGCACTCACAATAAAATATCGATGTAGATATTATGAGCTCCATTCCATACATAGATCAGAAAACAGATAGAGCAGTTAGGTCCATATTTACCTTGAGTTACACTAGCAGTAAGTGGAGGGCTGAACTCCATTCACAGATCTAATAGCATAGGTCCTGCTCCCTCTACTTGTCCAAGGCTGACTCTTAGGAGTCTCAGAATTCTAATTACATCCGCATTTCTCTTTCCCATTTCAGCATGACAATTCTCCAATTTTAGATATTTTTGGAACATTTTAAGGCTCTATATTTTATACAGGGCTTATATTCTGAATTTTCAAAATATTAGATATATGAGGGGGATTGCTTTGAAGAATACAAGAGGCTATTACAAGATAACCAAGCTGTAGAACATATAAGGATGAGACTGACCTAAAAATCAACTTGACCTAGGAACTGGAATCTCATCAGGAAGAGTAGATATCAAATTAATAGGAGCACTGTGGGCATTCAGTTGCATAGGGTTCACTATATGTCTATAACTGCAATAAATACAACTCCACAACAATTTGATTTTGGGAAAGTCAGTTTATATATGTTAGCTCACTGCTCCTTACAACAACTCTGTGATAAAGGTTAATGTTATCTCCCCTTGGCTGATAAAACTGAAGTTCAAATACAGATAGTAGGTGTCAGGATCTTAGTTTGAACATATATCTCTGATTCCTGTCCTGATGTGGGTGTTACCATACCACAGGTACCTTGCTGCCTATGAAATCTGTTAACTTTGAGGGTGGATTTTGGTGAAGCTTTATCTCCGTGAACAAACTGCAAAGGGCAGAGCAGAGCAGGTCAGCTTGAGTCTCAGCCAAAAATACTGGTGGGCCAGCTGCATCTTTTCCCTCCTTCTCCAGAATTAAAAGCAACAAGAAGCCTCTGTCATGATGGCAGGTGGGCAATCTAGTTATTTTGCAATTAACAAAGTTTAAAGGGCACTTTCTGAAAAATGTGCCAATGGGCCTAAATTACTACCAGTTTTACACTAATGTGAGTAATCTATTATTCTTTGATTTATTTTTAGCTAACTCTGTTTTTCAACAGACTGTCTTGCATTTCATGTTTTGATTTAATGCAGAGGCATTTGCATAAATAATTTGAAATTAGGTATAGTGATTGTGATGTGAATTTATTGAGAATTTCACATCATTTATTTACTTTTATTCTCAATACATTCACTGTTAAACAGAAAAGACATCTAACAAATTCAGATTATTTAGCACTTTGTTCCTAACAGCTTTAACACTGTTTTTGTTTATACAATATGTTGTAGAGAAGCAGCTTGAAATAGTGGAGAGAACTTTGTTATTAGAGAAACCTGAGTTCAACTTCAGTTTATATAGTCTTTGTAATCTCAGCTTTCTGAAGTAACACAGCTTAATATTCAGATATTTTAATATTATATTTAATGTATGCAAACTATCTGGTAGGTCACCTGAACCCAATTAATTGAACCTACTGAAATTATAAAGAATATTCTAGACAGAGTTTAGCTACTCTTTACTGGAGCATCCAAAACAAACAGTGGAGCAAATGGCACTATTACTGTACACTAGACTAAAAAAATAAGCTTACACTAGCAGAATAAAGTATTATTTTCCCAGAGAAAATCTCAAGCTGTACTCTTTAAAATTAAAAAAGGCAGGGGGTATATGAAAAATTTTCACTCAATTTTGCAGTGAATCAAAAACTGCTCTAAGAAAGAAAGTTTACTTTAAACATTTAAATAAGAAACAGCTTTAATACATGTGTGACATAAAAATTTTACAGAATATAATTTTTATTTAACAAAAGAAATCCTTTGTAAGCTGGGAGACAAAGAGAATATGTCTTCCAATAAAATGGAAAAGACTGAAGATGGCCGAATAGGAACAGCTCCAGTCTACAGCTCCCAGCGTGAGCGACGCAGAAGACGGGTGATTTCTGCATTTCCATCTGAGGTACCGGGTTCGGGTTCATCTCACTAGGGAGTGCCAGTGGGCGCAGGCCAGTGGGTGCGCGCACCCTGCGCGAGCCGAAGCAGGGCGAGGCATTGCCTCACCTGGGAAGCACAAGGGGTCAGGGAGTTCCCTTTCCGAGTCAAAGGAAGGGGTGACAGACGCACCTGGAAAATCGGGTCACTCCCACCTGAATATTGCGCTTTTCAGACCAGCTTAAAAAACGGTGCACCACGAGACTATATCCCACACCTGGCTCAGAGGGTCCTACGCCCACGGAATCTCGCTGATTGCTAGCACAGCAGTCTGAGATCAAACTGCAAGGCAGCAGCGAGGCTGGGGGAGGGGCACCCGCCATTGCCCAGGCTTGCTTAGGTAAACAAAGCAGCCGGGAAGCTCGAACTGGGTGGAGCCCACCACAGCTCAAGGAGGCCTGCCTGCCTCTGTAGGCTCCACCTCTGGGGGCAGGGCACAGACAAACAAAAAGACAGCAGTAACCTCTGCAGACTTAAATGTCCCTGTCTGACAGCTTTGAAGAGAGCAGTGGTTCTCCCAGCATGCAGCTGGAAATCTGAGAACGGGCAGACTGCCTCCTCAAGTGGGTCCCTGACCCCTGACCCCCGAGCAGCCTAACTGGGAGGCACCCCCCAGCAGGGGCACACTGACACCTCACATGGCAGGGTATTCCAACAGACCTGCAGCTGAGGGTCCTGTCTGTTAGAAGGAAAACTAACAAACAGAAAGGACATCCACACCAAAAACCCATCTGTACATCACCATCATCAAAGACCAAAAGTAGATAAAACCACAAAGATGGGGAAAAAACAGAACAGAAAAACTGGAAACTCTAAAACGCAGAGCATCTCTCCTCCTCCAAAGGAACGCAGTTCCTCACCAGCAACAGAACAAAGCTGGATGGAGAATGATTTTGATGAGCTGAGAGAGGAAGGCTTCAGACGATCAAATTACTCTGAGCTACGGGAGGACATTCAAACCAAAGGCAAAGAAGTTGAAAACTTTGAAAAAAATTTAGAAGAATGTATAACTAGAATAACCAATACAGAGAAGTGCTTAAAGGAGCTGATGGAGCTGAAAACCAAGGCTCGAGAACTACGCGAAGAATGCAGAAGCCTCAGGAGCCGATGCAATCAACTGGAAGAAAGGGTATCAGCAATGGAAGATGAAATGAATGAAATGAAGCGAGAAGGCAAGTTTAGAGAAAAAAGAATAAAAAGAAATGAGCAAAGCCTCCAAGAAATATGGGACTATGTGAAAAGACCAAATCTACGTCTGATTGGTGTACCTGAAAGTGATGCGGAGAATGGAACCAAGTTGGAAAACACTCTGCAGGATATTATCCAGGAGAACTTCCCCAATCTAGCAAGGCAGGCCGACGTTCAGATTCAGGAAAAACAGAGAACGCCACAAAGATACTCCTCGAGAAGAGCAACTCCAAGACACATAATTGTCAGATTCACCAAAGTTGAAATGAAGGAAAAAATGTTAAGGGCAGCCAGAGAGAAAGGTCGGGTAACCCTCAAAGGGAATCCCATCAGACTAACAGCGGATCTCTCAGCAGAAACCCTACAAGCCAGAAGAGAGTGGGGGCCAATATTCAACATTCTTAAAGAAAACAATTTTCAACCCAGAATTTCATATCCAGCCAAACTAAGCTTCATAAGTGAAGGAGAAATAAAATACTTTACAGACAAGCAAATGCTGAGAGATTTTGTCACCACCAGGCCTGCCCTAAAAGAGCTCCTGAAGGAAGCGCTAAACATGGAAAGGAACAACCGGTACCAGCCGCTGCAAAATCATGCCAAAATGTAAAGACCATCGAGACTAGGAAGAAACTGCATCAACTAATGAGCAAAATCACCAGCTAACATCATAATGACAGGATCAAATTCACACATAACAATATTAACTTTAAATGTAAATGGACTAAATGCTCCAATTAAAAGACACACACTGGCAAGTTGGATAAAGAGTCAAGACCCATCAGTGTGCTGTATTCAGGAAACCCATCTCACGTGCAGAGACACACATAGGCTCAAAATAAAAGGATGGAGGAAGATCTACCAAGCCAATGGAAAACAAAAAAAGGCAGGGGTTGCAATCCTAGTCTCTGATAAAACAGACTTTAAACCAACAAAGATCAAAAGAGACAAAGAAGGCCATTACATAATGGTAAAGGGATCAATTCAACAAGAGGAGCTAACTATCCTAAATATACATGCACCCAATACAGGAGCACCCAGATTCATAAAGCAAGTCCTGAGTGACCTACAAAGAGACTTAGACTCCCACACATTAATAATGGGAGACTTTAACACCCTACTGTCAACATTAGACAGATCAACGAGACAGAAAGTCAACAAGGATACCCAGGAATTGAACTCAGCTCTGCACCAAGTGGACCTAATAGACATCTACAGAACTCTCCACCCCAAATCAACAGAATATACATTTTTTTCAGCACCACACCACACCTATTCCAAAATTGACCACATAGTTGGAAGTAAAGCTCTCCTCAGCAAATGTAAAAGAACAGAAATTATAACAAACTATCTCTCAGACCACAGTGCAATCAAACTAGAACTCAGGATTAAGAATCTCACTCAAAACCACTCAACTACATGGAAACTGAACAACCTGCTCCTGAATGACTACTGGCTACATAACGAAATGAAGGCAGAAATAAAGATGTTCTTTGAAACCAACGAGAACAAAGACACCACATACCAGAATCTCTGGGACGCATTCAAAGCAGTGTGTAGAGGGAAATTTATAGCACTAAATGTCCACAAGAGAAAGCAGGAAAGATCCAAAATTGACACCCTAACATCACAATTAAAAGAACTAGAAAAGCAAGAGCAAACACATTCAAAAGCTAGCAGAAGGCAAGAAATAACTAAAATCAGAGCAGAACTGAAGGAAATAGAGACACAAAAAACCCTTCAAAAAATCAATGAATCCAGGAGCTGGTTTTTTGAAAGGATCAACAAAATGAATAGACCACTAGCAAGACTAATAAAGAAGAAAAGAGAGAAGAATCAAATAGACACAATAAAAAATGATAAAGGGGATATCACCACCGATCCCACAGAAATACAAACTACCATCAGAGAATACTACAAACACCTCTACGCAAATAAACTAGAAAATCTAGAAGAAATGGATACATTCCTCGACACATACACTCTCCCAGGACTAAACCAGGAAGAAGTTGAATCTCTGAATAGACCAATAACAGGAGCTGAAATTGGGGTAATAATCAATAGTTTACCAACCAAAAAGAGTCCAGGACCAGATGGATTCACAGCCGAATTATACCAGAGGTACAAGGAGGAAATGGTACCATTCCTTCTGAAACTATTCCAATCAATAGAAAAAGAGGGAATCCTCCCTAACTCATTTTATGAGGCCAGCATCATTCTGATACCAAAGCCGGGCAGAGACACAACCAGAAAAGAGAATTTTAGACCAATATCCTTGATGAACATTGATGCAAAAATCCTCAATAAAATACTGGCAAAACGAATCCAGCAGCACATCAAAAAGCTTATCCACCATGATCAAGTGGGCTTCATCCCTGGGATGCAAGGCTGGTTCAATGTATGCAAATCAATAAATGTAATCCAGCATATAAACAGAGCCAAAGACAAAAACCACATGATAATCTCAATAGATGCAGAAAAGCCTTTGACAAAATTCAACAACCCTTCATGCTAAAAACTCTCAATAGATTAGGTATTGATGGGACGTCTTTCAAAATAACAAGAGCTATCTATGACAAACCCACAGCCAATATCATACTGAATGGGCAAAAACTGGAAGCATTCCCTTTGAAAACTGGCACAAGACAGGGATGCCCTCTCTCACTGCTCCTATTCAACATAGTGTTGGAAGTTCTGGCCAGGGCAATTAGGCGGGAGAAGGAAATAAAGGGTATTCAATTAGGAAAAGAGGAAGTCAAATTGTCCCCGTTTGCAGACGACATGATTGTTTATCTAGAAAACCCCATCATCTCAGCCCAAAATCTCCTTAAGCTGATAAGCAACTTCAGCAAAGTCTCAGGATACAAAATCAATGTACAAAAATCACAAGCATTCTTATACACCAACAACAGACAAACAGAGAGCCAAATCATGAGTGAACTCCCATTCACAATTTCTTCAAAGAGAATAAAATACCTAGGAATCCAACTTACCAGGGATGTGAAGGACCTCTTCAAGGAGAACTACAAACCACTGCTCAAGGAAATAAAAGAGGATACAAACAAATGGAAGAACATTCCAAGCTCATGGGTAGGAAGAATCAATATCGTGAAAATGGCCATACTGCCCAAGGTAATTTACAGATTCAATGCCATCCCCATCAAGCTACCACTGCCTTTCTTCACAGAATTGGAAAAAACTACTTTACAGTTCATATGGAACCAAAAAAGAGCCCGCATCGCCAAGTCAATCCTAAGCCAAAAGAACAAAGCTGGAGACATCACACTACCTGACTTCAAACTATACTACAAGGCTACAGTAAACAAAACAGCATGGTACTGGTACCAAAACAGAGATATAGATCAATGGAACAGAACAGAGCCCTCAGAAATAATGCCACATACCTACAACTATCTGATCTTTGACAAACCTGAGAAAAACAAGCAATGGGGAAAGGATTCCCTATTTAATAAATGGTGCTGGGAAAAGTGGCTAGCCATATGTAGAAAGCTGAAACTGGATCCCTTCCTTACACCTTATACAAAAATCAATTCAAGATGGATTAAAGATTTAAACATTAGACCTAAAACCATAAAAACCCTAGAAGAAAACCTAGGCATTACCATTCAGGACATAGGCATGGGCAAGGACTTCATGTCTAAAACACCAAAAGCAATGGCAACCAAAGCCAAAATTGACAAATGGGATCTAATTAAACTAAAGAGCTTCTGCACAGCAAAAGAAACTACCATCAGAGTGAACAGGCAACCTACAACATGGGAGAAAATTTTCGCAACCTACTCATCTGACAAAGGGCTAATATCCAGAATCTACAATGAACTCAAACAAATTTACAAGAAAAAAACAAACAACCCCATCAAAAAGTGGGCGAGGGACATGAACAGACACTTCTCAAAAGAAGACATTTATGCAGCCAAAAAACACATGAAAAAATGCTCATCATCACTGGCCATCAGAGAAATGCAAATCAAAACCACTATGAGATATCATCTCACACCAGTTAGAATGGCAATCATTAAAAAGTCAGGAAACAACAGGTGCTGGAGAGGATGTGGAGACATAGGAACACTTTGACACTGTTGGTGGGACTGTAAACTAGTTCAACCATTGTGGAAGTCAGTGTGGTGATTTCTCAGGGATCTAGAACTAGAAATACCATTTGACCCAGCCATCCCATTACTGGGTATATACCCAAATGACTATAAATCATGCTGCTATAAAGACACATGCACACGTATGTTTATTGTGGCATTATTCACAATAGCAAAGACTTGGAACCAACCCAAATGTCCAACAATGATAGACTGGATTAAGAAAATGTGGCACATATACACCATGGAATACTATGCAGCCATAAAAAATGATGAGTTCATGTCCTTTGTAGGGACATGGATGAAATTGGAAATCATCATTCTCAGTAAACTATCGCAAGAACAAAAAACCAAACACCGCATATTCTCACTCATAGGTTGGAATTGAACAATGAGATCACATGGACACAGGAAGGGGAATATCACACTCTGGGGACTGTGGTGGGGAGGGGGGAGGGGGGAGGGATAGCATTGGGAGATATACCTAATGCTAGATGACGAGTTAGTGGGTGCAGCGCACCAGCATGGCACATGTTTACATATGTAACTAACCTGCACAATGTGCACATGTACCCTAAAACTTAAAGTATAATTAAAAAAAATAAATAATAATAATAATAGTAATAATAATAAAAAAATGGAAAAGACTGAAGTGTTGAAACTTTCTGGTAGTTGATAGAAACACTGTATTCTATAATTATACATTTTAAAATAATGAAAAAAGTGCAGCAAAAAAAAAGTCTACAGGCTTCTCAAATAAGAATAGAACACATTTCAAGTAATATGTAGAATGGGGAAAAAGCTAAGGAAGCAACTATTACTTTTTCCAATAGAGGGAAACTAGTAACTGAGAAAGAAAGCTGTGGTATAAAATATGAAACTAACATGTGACTTCATTTTAAACAATAAATAGAAGTAAGACAGAATCCATAGAACGTTCTTCTTTAGGTAGCAGAGGGTTTACAACTTGGAATTATGTGGAGAAAATGTAATCATAGCCCAATGTCTTCACTCATAGCTCACACTACTTACAGGTATAATGATGCAAATGTCACTCATTGATTTTCAACCTTAAGAATCCACCTATAGACAAATGGAAAAACTCATTATGCAATAAAATACATTTGTTATCAACTTTTACAATGACAATTAAAGAGAAAGATGATGGAGGCTGAGAGGTAGATGCAGGGAAAGTTGTTGGGAAGAGGAAGGCCATTAAATCACCCACTCCCAATTTGGAAGTCAAGATATACAGAAAATAAAATGTATGTGATTAAGGGAATTATTGGATGCTAAAATAATCAGGAGGCAGCTAATGTAGTGAGAGAATTATATTAAAAGAAGGAATAAGAAGATGTACAAGGTAAGAGATAATGTCTATAGTCATTTAAAAGTAGTTACTTTTTAAAAAGACATATTCATATTAGAGATATGGAGGTGAAAATAAAAGGATGAAAAACTAAAACACTTGTTTTTCACTTTAAGCCCTGCTGTACTATTTGACTTTTAAAAATATGAAAATATACATTTAATGAAAAAAATAAACTAGCATAGTTAAAAGTCATTGAAAGGAGAGAGTTGATGCAGATAATTTTAAAAGTAATTGTCTTCTCTCTGCTTTATCATTTTATCCTGTTTTAGGGATAAAACTCACAGAAGTTCTTTATATGCTACTCTTGGTGGAAATGTAAATTAGTACACCCATTAATAGAAAACTTCGTGGAAGTTCCTCAACAAAACTAAAAATAGAATTATTATATGATATAGCACCCCTACCTCCGGCTACCTTTCCAGCTAATTTTAATTGCACTCCCACGTTCATGGCAGCATTATTTACAAAAGCCAAGTTATATCCATCAACAGATAAATGAATTAAAAAATGTGGTGTATATATATACCCAATGAAATACTAGTCAGCCTAAAAACCCTAAAAAATGGGTTTAAAAAGAAAAATTTCTGCCATTTGCAACAACAGTATATTATTCACTTTTGTACCGCTAATGAGACCTGTTAGATAACTAACACATGTTGAATAAATAAATAAATTATTGAATGAGCAGTACAAAATAATGAATGTCTATTTCCAGATTAAAATAATTGCCCAACTATGTGACCAGCAATCAGGATTGCCACATCGTGTCTAGGGGGCACCACTCTAATAAGCTATTATAAAATATTTCACTTAAAACATGAACAGAGTTGCACAATAATCAAAATATTTACCCTGAGTACCCCAGTTTTTTCCTCAGATCATAACAGATTTTAATAATTCAACCTCAAATAGTGTTTAAAGCTAGTGCTTTCACTAATACTATTTGACCTGAATTGCATCAGCTGGGATCTGGAAGTATCTGCCTACATTGACCCTATAAAGCACACATTGGAAACAGGATTTGTTAAAGAGTAACTTTAAAACTTTCTTCTGTAACAGAGACTGGGGACCCCAAAAGGGAAGAGGGTAGGAAGGGAGTAAGGGTTGAAAAATTATTTATTGCGTACAATGTTCACATCTGGGTGATGGGTACACTACAAGCCTCAAATCCAACAAAGGGCAATATACCTATGTAACAAACCTGCACATGAACACCCTGGATATAAAATTAAATTAAATTAAATAATAAAAAACTTTCTGCTAACCTAGGAAAAAATTTTTATTTGAACTGTACGTTAAAAGGCACCAAATCATACTTTAGTAAGTAATTTGTAATCACAGGTAAATGCTATTTCAGATGGTACAAATTCAATATCATTAACAACTGTGTAACAGTGGCCACTTTAAGATAAAGATAATAAAGTACAACAGCATAGACAAGGTATACCTAGTGAGATATTCATTTTTCTAGCAAAATAGCCATTAAATATATTGTTTAAATTTATCCATCTCATGTGTTAGGGAAAACTATCATTAGAATCAAAATCAAACTATTATAATTATAGTAAAGATACAAGTAATTTTGTTTTCTTTGATACTTTTCTTTTTTTTCATAGTATCTTTACTTCTCTTTCCATAAATCAGACCCCGATTCACTGCATAGAAGCTTGTATACTATTTTCTCTATCATCTCTTATTTTTCATTTTCCCAAACCCTACCAACCACTATTTATTGTTTTGTACTTTTTACTATACTCTTTCATATGTATCATAGACACCCCACATACTCTCATTTATTTATTTTTACTAATGCTGTTCTTTTACGTGGAATACCTTTTTCCATGTTGTACAAATTCAATTCCCTAGATTCCTTTAGGATGGAGACTACATCTTCTCCATAGTGCCATTGTTTAATTACAGTATTTGTATAATCGCTGTAATTTGTAATTGCTAAAAAAGTTTATAATTGTGGATCCTTCACCTTTATAACAAGGCTGATTATACTCATGATTTATTTGATGCTGAAAACTTGGTTAAAAATATAAACCATGATGTTGAATTTTTTCCTTAGGAAACATAACTCACTTTAAATAATGTGTTTTATCATGGGATTTCTAAAATGCCTCAGAGTCAGGAAATGAGTTAAGGTACTGAGTATTATAATAAATTAGGCTTAAATTAAAATAGATATTCTATATTATATATGTTGCCTGTTGCATATATTCATTATATTTTGGATGTATTTACACATCCTTCTTTTCAAAACTGTGAGCCCATAGAGGGTAGTTAATGCTTTATTTAACTACATATCATCACATGGTAGGTACTTACGTATTTCTTGTACAGAAAAGTAGTACAGAAAAATAGGCAAAAAAATTTTGGAAGAGTAAATACATTTTTCTAAGCAGAACACCAAGCAGATGCTAAAAGAACGTGGAAAATACTTTTTCAGAAAGTATTCACTTCAGGAAATACTAAATCTTTGCAAAGAAAATGAATAAGTTTAACCTTCTACAATAGAACTTTATTTTCCATCTTAGTTGGTCCAAATTATCTTTTTCTCGCAAGGAAATTAAGATTCCCAATATAAACAATTATTTTAAAGTATATTTCAAGTGGCTTTAACTATTAATATCCTGTTGCTACTGTAAACACAGTTCATTTTACTGACAACTACTAGTGAAGTAAAACTCAGTCATTTCTCATGTGAGTTGTGACATTAGTCTGGCATGATATCATCCCCTAAATATACATATAAGCAGTGTCCAGTCTCCACTTCGTGTCCTTTAATGTGAATTAGAAGTGTTCATCAAGAGATCTTGGCCCAAACTGCCCATATTGACAGGGTTGTGGCTTAAACTAGTGATTAACCAAAATGGCCAGGAGTGGGAAAAGCTTGACAGTGAAGCACCTCTTCTTATTTTATTAACAGTTTCATAAAGATGTTCTTTTGTTTGATGCCATTTTTCCCACTACAGCCATATGTGCAATGGATGTGACATTCTAAACTCTGTATTACACTCATTTGTTTATATTTATTTCCTGTTACTAGACAGTGTTCTTTAATGCAGATATTTCTATCTTCACAACAAAACATTGTATATACATATTTTATGCAAATAAAGAAGGAAGTTAAATGATGCAAGAAATGTGTATACATATTTTTATGGAAAGAAAGAAGGAAGTTAAATGATCCAAGAAATATTCCTAAAAATTCCTATATAATTGAGATTTAGGTGTTTAGGAACCTGGACATATGATTAACGTGAAAGTTTTAAAGCCAAAGGACTGGAAGAAAAAGTTATCATTATCATGCACCTTCATCAAGGTACCTGAACTATAAATGTCATGGATATGAAAACTTTGCTAACAAACAGTTTTCCAAGTTTTGAACAATGGCCCAATTATTTCTCATCCTGCCCTGGAGTCTTTCTATAACATGACCCATATACCACAGCATTAAGCATTAGGCACGGCATTATTGAATCTCATCCAAGGTGTTTATTATTGGAAGTACCAGAAGGATCTCATTTAGAAAATTTGCTTTAGTTATTACTCTAGGAATGGATTATGTAGTAACATTTGATGAGCTCTTCAACAGTAAATTAAGCAGAACACAAATTGCTAGTATAATTATGTAATAAATATAGAGAAGTTATAAGTTTATAACTATGCATAGCCCCACTCATGGGTTTTAAACTATATGTATAAAACATTATTTAAAGGAATACCAACCAGGGCTACTGAATATTGCCATAAAAGTATATGCCAAGTGTTTTGCTGAGTGGTATGCTGAGTTGGTGAACTTTTCTTCTGGCTATCAAGTATGGAGTTAGAGAAAGAAGTTTGATCTTAAGAGCAAAGGTACATGTTGATCAAATAAATTTAGATATGGCAGAAAACAGGAAATCAGATTATTTAAAGAAGAATATGTGACAGTTTTAACTGCCATACATGTTGAGGACAACAAGTTTGAGTGTCATATTTGGTTTGGTAGATTCCTGAGCCCTGGAATCAAAAGTTGATTTTCAACATGTATCTACTTCCTCCAGCAACTCTAGTTCATATAATTGGGTTGAATGAGCTGATACAAACAAAATTGAAAGAAAACCAAATTTGGAAAGAAATTTTTAAATTTCTGTGAAATAGCCAAGTAGACATGCCAAGTAGGAAATTAAATAAGAACATTCTGGCTAAGAGAATAGAAGTCTGAGTTGGAACTATTTGGGAGTCCTCAGAATATGGATAGCAACAATAATAGATAAAAGTGTAGGAAGTGAAGGAAAGAGATCTCTGAGTTATACCCTAAAGAATTCAAATATGTGTGCATTAACTGAGAAGGAATAGCTCACAAAGACAATGAAGAAGAAGAAGAGAAACCAAGATAATATATTCTTATGGAAATCAGGAAAAGAAACTGTTTTTACATTCTTTTTTTAAAAACATTTACTCTGTTGAAAACTAAAGTAAGATGTGTAGTGAAAAAAATCCACTAATTCTGGCAACATAGTAGAAGATATATAGGAGTAGGCTTGTGTGAATGGGAGTAAAAAAAGTGAAGACAATATATTTATACAACTTTTTTGAGACACTTGGCAGTGAACAAGAGCTAAGAGTATGGTGGTGATTAGAAGAGAATCTGGAAATTCAAGAAGTTTTGTTTGCTCATATTAAGAAGGGGTTATTTTAGGTAAAGTACTTAGCCCAGAGCATGGAACAGAGTACGCACTGAATACACGATTTTTTAAATAATCATCATCATCACCATCCTCAACATTTATCTAGATCCTGTAAAATTATTTGGTAAAAGGTTAATAATAATATGAACAAATTATTGCACTATTCACTCCAAATGTGTTATTATTAAAACCAACCAACCTAATGAAGTTGCTATTATTTCCCACATTTCTAAGAAGGTGTTGATGCTGAAAGAATTTGCCAAATAATTGACAGCTTGTAAATAGAAGAGCTGAAATTTCAACCCTCATTCTGTCAAATTTCAAAGCCCATTCTCTTTGCCTTCCATATATTGTTACTCTTAAGACACTGGGTAAAAATTGTTCAATTTAGTCCTGTGGTTCTTCCAAAGGCCTGCTACTAAATGTTTCATTTGAAACTAATTCCAAATGCTACTGAATTGAATTTGTCTCAGCAAACATATTATTTAATATATAAGTATTTTGCTTAATTTCCAAAAGATTATAGATGTATGTGATTTAGCACTAAATGATTCAGTCCTCATGTTGCTGATAGATGGTGTTTAAATCTCAGAGCCTTTCTACAAAATACACAACGCTTAATCATAGCTTTTCTATGGACAAAGTCCTGTAAAATAAGAGGGGGCTCTTGAAAATAGACTTACCATATTATATTGTATTAGTTACTTAACTACATCATTGCTGAAGAGGGAGGAACTTCAGAGGGGCCATAGAAAATGACAAAAACAGTGATTTTGGTGTTAAATTTTTTGTAATATTCCAAGCTTTTATTATTTTTTTAAATGGTTTGAGATTTGCATAATAAAAAAATCACTTTTTTAATCTTCTTAAAAATATTGGAGTCTTCCTCATTTTTTTCCTCTGGCTATTCTTCCTAGAGGAAAATAAAAACTTGAGACAGAAGCTATGACCCAGATTCGCACTCTAAGCTTCCAGAATTCAACTTCTTTCTGCTTTCTTTGTAAGCTGTCAAATTCACAGCTGAAGCCTTCGGTGCATGTCTCATTAAAAGTAATTCCGTTTCCACAGAAAGGAGAAAACTCTATATGGAGCTGTGTGTCAATGGGTCGGGTGGATTGGTGAGTTATTTATTTTGCCTGTTTTAGCTCACTAGTCACCAATGATCCTTGATTCTAACTGGATCTAATGACAATGCAGAAATTCTCCCATCACCAGCTGAAGGCAGAAAATCCTCTACAGCGTAGCCAAAACTCTTCATGCTTGACAGCTTTTGCTGAAAAAAAGTCGCTTCTTTGACAGCAGCTCCCTGGCCTGCCACCACCTTCTCCAGTTTGGATCTGTGCTGTCTGGGTTCTGTTGTAGCCAGATTCCCTTTGGAAGGACTTGGTGTCTAAACACAGTACTAAGAGGAGGAACTCACTTTGGATGCAGAAATGAGAAGAAAGAATTAAAATGTAGTGTAATGGCTGTGCTGTCATTGTTGCCAAATTTTGAGCCTCATTTAAGAGTGGGTAACTATGCTGTGTTCAGGCATTAGAGCCTTGGTGACTTTCCTCTATAATTTAGACTTGTGCTGTCCAGTTTAATAGCCACTTGCCACATTGAGATGTTCAGTGTAAAACACAAAATACATTTCAAAGATTTAATACAAAAGAAAGAATGCAAAATATCCCTTTAATATGTGGATTACATGTTAAAATGATAGAAGTTTGGATATATTGGGTTAAATAAAATGCATTATTAAATTTAATATCATTTATTTTTACTCTTTCTTAAAATTACAAATATAGCTAGCATTACATTTCTATTAGACAGTATCACTTAAGGCATGCAAAGAAATTTAGATCCTATACATTTCAGGGTAGAATTCAAACTTCTTAGGATATTTAATGGCATCCAAACTTTTCATGATCTGCTGCTTGACTCTTCTCTCCAGTCTCACTGCCTGCCTTTTCCTGAGGCACAGCACATGCTCCAGCCATAACAAAGGATACGTAGATCAAATACACTAGGCTTTTTTACATCCCTAAATTTCACACAATCTCTCTTATTCCTGGAATACCCTTCTATTTAGCTAATTCCTACCCATCCTTCAAGAGTCAGCTGAAAGTGACAGAATTATCTAAGTTAAGTTTTTATTGTTGTTGTTGTTGTTGCTTTTTCTGAGACAAGGTTTCACTCCTGTCACCAAGGCTGCAGTGCAGTGGTACAATCACGGCTCACTGCAGCCTCAACTTTCCAGGCTCAAGTGATCCTCCCACCTCAGCCTCCTGGTTAGCTGGGACTACAGGCACACAGTACCACACCCAGATAATTTTTGTATTTTTTTTTAGAGACTAAATTTCTCCATGTTGCCCAGGCTGGTCTTGAACTCCTGGGCTCAAGCAATCCCAGGAGGCTTTGGGAAGCCTCAACCTCCCAGAGTGAGTGCTGGGATTACAGGCATGAGCCACCACACCTGGCCCACTGTTCTAAACAGATATCTTCCACTGTACTCTCATTGCTCAACTCCCCTCCAATGTCATAGGATATTGTTTATGTTTTATTGTAATTACGTATTTGTCTTACTCCATAAAAGACTGTGAGATAGTTAAACAAAGGGGTTAATTACACCCTTTATCTCTAGAGCCTAGGCAACCTAAATATTTGTTGAATAAATACATTTTAGGAAATGAACAGCAATTTTTCATAAGTAAATTACTGAGCATCCACTATGAATCATTGTGTATAGCAGCTTCTGTTATTGAAGCTACTCTGCATTCATTGTGATATAAAAGCACTAAGCTGGGCTAAGATAAGATATAGTATCAAGGACAGCACAGCTTAGTCACAAATGCCCTCGACAGAGTGAGGAGGCAGTGATTGAAAATGTATTTGTTTGATTTATCACTTACATGGTTTTTGGGAAATGGCTTACCTTTTTTATGTAAATTTGTCTCCTCAATTACAAAATTATATGTATTCTAAGAAACCTTAGAGAGTAGATTTTTAGACCTGCTCCCTACATTGTTTTGTTATATATATTTTTTTCTTTTTGTGACTAGTTTATTTCACTTAGTAAACTTTATTGTTTTTTGGGGAAATATAGGCATTTTCATAAAAACATTGTTTATGTTAACATGCAGAGTAAATGAATAACAAACACTTAAAAATTCTCAGTTTTAAATTCAAATAGAATAAATGTCAATAGATATATCCACTGCATATTTCTATGGTGACACTAGTTGCATTACTCTGATTATAAAATTTAATGTTTGTCTTTTTACTATATGGTGACTAGTGTGACAACGACTGTGTAGTATTGATATTGTATCTATAGGGAAGATTTTATTTTTTCATTTTTTTTTAAGTTCTGGGACACATGTGCAGGATGTGCAGGTTTGTTACATAGGTAAATCTGTGCCATGGGTATTTGCTGCACCTATCAACTTATCACCTAGGTATTAAGCCCAGCATGCATTAGCTATTTTTCCTGATGCTCTTCCTAATTATCATCAGAGCAAACAGACCATCTACAGAATAGGGAAAAATGTTTACAATCTATCCATCTGACAATGGTCTAATATCCAGAGTCTACCTGAAACTTAAATAAATTTACAAGAAGAAAACAACCCTATTAAAAAGTGGGCAAGGGCCATGAACAAACACTTCTCAAAAGAAAATATTTATGCAGCCAACAAATATATGAAAAAAAGCTCAACATCACGATCATTAGAGAAATGCAAATCAAAACCACAATGAGACACCAATTCATGCCAGTCAGATGGTGATTTTTAAAAAGTAAAGAAATAACAGATGCTGGCGAGGTTGTGGAGAAATGGGAACACATTTACACTGTTGGTGGGAATGTAAATTATTTCAACCATTGTGGAAGATGGTATGGCAATTCCTCAAAGGTCTAGAGTCAGAAATGTCATTTGACCCAGCAATCCCATTACTGAGTATATACCCAAAGGAATATAAATCATTCTATTATAAATATACAAGCATGTGTATGTTCATTGCAGCACTATCCACAATAGTAAAGACATGGAATCAACCCAAATGTCCATCAACGATAGACCAGATTAAAAAAAAATGGTACATATACACCATGGAATATTATGCAGCTATAAAAAATGAATGAGATCATGTCCTTTGCAGGGACATGGACTGAGCTGGAAGTCATTATCCTTAGCAAATGAATTGGGAAACAGAAAACCAAACACCACATGTTCTCACTTATAAGTGGGAGCTGAATGATGAGAACACATGAACACACGGAGGGGAACAACACACTCATATATATTATGTTGACCACATAGACAGTAGAGCTGAAAATAGCCTAAAGAGCATAGAAAACTGTAAAATACTTTAAAAGGAATTATGTTTAATTAGAATTGTCTGATATTTAACTTTAATTTTTTATAGCTTAATTATTGTTTATAGAATTTAATTTTTAATAATGGCTGTGTTTAACAACAGACACTTAAAAATTTAACAATTCTCTTACAATTGCCTAGATGAACTGGTTCCAGCACAACACTGGACTATGCCAATAAAATATCCTAAAATTCTTCTAGTCAATGATCTCTATCATATTTTCAGTTACTCCATGACTTTGAAGGGACCACTGACTTAACTGGCTATAATAGAGACTCTCTTTTTATAAAGATCCAGTACAATAAAGGTGAACGTTTAATGATGTAGAATGGAAAATATTGTTACTTTTGTTTTGCTGTACTAGGAAAAGATCTGTTCATAAAGTATAATTTAAATTTGACCCTGCAGAAGGAGTTGACTTTGGCATTCTAGATGGAGTAAACAGAGCATAGGCAGGTTAAAGTGGGTAGTATGTGGTCAAGATCCAGTCTGCCTACGGTTGAGGCTATACGATGGGAGGGCAAGTAGGCTAAGATTACAAGGGGGAGGCCCAAACTTGATACATAAAGAGGTGCAATAGAAGAGGTTTCCGAAGGCAGGTAACATGAATTAAACTGCAAGTAAGACTACACTGGCAATAATAGGATAAGAGAGTACAGTGGCGCTCCAGAAGGATACAATAGAGTATTATAATGACAGAGTTTAAAATGAACAAAGTTGTATTCTTAAGTATTTTATTCCCTTTGTAGCAATTGTGAATGGGAGTTCACTCATGATTGGGCTCTCTATTTGTCTATTATCGTTGTGTAGGAATGCTTGTGATTTTTGCACATTGATTTTGTATCTTGAGACTTTGCTGAAGTTGCTTATTAGCATAAGGAGATTTCAGGCTGAGATGATAGGGTTTATTAAATACACAATCATGTCAACTGCAAAGAGACAATTTGACTTCCTTTCTTCTTATGTGAATGCCCTTTCTTTCTTTCTCTTGGCTGATTTCCCTGGCCAGAACTTCCAATACTATGTTAAATATGGTGAGAGAGGGCATCCTTGTCTTGTGCAGGACTTCAAAGGGAATGCTGCCAGTTTTTGACCACTCAGTATGATATTGGCTGTGGGTTTGTCATAAATAGCTCTCATTATTTTGAGATACGTTCCATCAATACCTAGTTTATTGAGATTTTTTAGCGTAAAGGGGTGGTGAATTTTATCGAAGGCCTTTTCTGCATCTATTGAGATAGTCATGTGGTTTTTGTCATTGGTTCTATTTATGTGATGGATTACATTTATTGATTTGCATATGTTGAACCAGGCTTACAAGGGATGTGAAGGAACTCTTCAAGGAGAACTACACACCACTGCTCAAAAAAATAAAGAGAGGACACAAATAGAAAAACATTCCATGCTCATGAATAAGAAGAATCAATACTGTGAAAATGGCCATACTGCCCAAAGTAATTTGTAGATTCAATGCTATCCCCATCAAGCTACAGTAACCAAAACAGCATAGTACTCATATCAAAACAAATATATATAGACCAATGGAACAGAACAGAGGCCTCAGAAATAACACCACAAATCTACAACCACCTGATCTTTGACAAACCTGACAAAAACAAGCAATGGGGAAAGGATTCCCTATTTAATAAATGGTGTTGGGAAAACTGGCTAGCCTTAGGCAGAAAACTAAAACTGGATCCCTTCCTTACACATTTTACAAAAATTAATTCAAGATGGATTAAAGACTTAAACTAATACCTAAAACCATAAAAACTCTAGAAGAAAGCCTAGGCAATACCATTCAGGACATACGCATGGGCAAAGACTTCATGACTAAAACACCAAAAGCAATGGCAACCAAAGCCAAAATTGACAAATGGGATCTAATCAAACTAAAGAGCTTCTGCACAGCAAAAGAAATTAGCATCAGAGTGAAAAGGCAACATACAGAATGGGAGAAAAGTTTTGCAATTTATCCATCTGACAAAGGGCTAATATCCAGAATCTACAGGGAACTTAAACAAATTTACAAAAAAAAAAACAACCCCATGAAAAAGTGGGTGAAGGATATGAACAGACATTTCACAAAAGAAGACTTGTATGCAGCCAACAAACATATGAAAAAAGCTCGTAATCACTGGTCGTTAGGGTAATGCAAATCAAAACCACAATGAGATACATCTCAGGCCAGTTAGAATGGTGATTATTAAAAAGTCAGGAAACAACAGAAGCTAGAGAGGATGTGGAGAAATAGGAACACTTTTACACTGTTGATGGAAGTGTAAATTAGTTCAACCATTGTGGAAGACAGTGTGGTGATTTCTCAAGGATCTAGAACCAGAAATACCATTTAATCCAGCAATCCCATTACTGGGTATATACCCAAAGGATTATAAATCATCCTACTATAGAGACACATGCACACATATGTTGCAGCACTATTCACAATATCAAAGACTTGGAACCAATCCAAATGTCCATCAGTGATAGACTGGATAAAGAAAATGTGGCACTTATACACCATGGAATACTATGCAGCCATAAAAAAGGATGAGTTCATGTCCTTTGCAGGGACATGGATGAAGCTGGAAACCATCATTTTCAGCAAACTAACATAGGAACAGAAAACCAAACACTGCATGTTCTCACTCATAAATGGGAGTTGAACAATGAGAACACATAGACACAGGGAGGGGAACACCACACACTGGGGCCTGTCAGGGGATTGGGGTCTAGGGATGGATAGCATTAGGAGAAATACCTAATATAGATGACAGGTTGATGGTTGCAGCAGACTACCATGGCATGTGTATACCTATGTAACAAACCTGCACATTCTGCACATGTATCCCAGAATTTAGAGTATAATAAAAAATAAATACATAAAAATAAAAGCACATAAAATGAACAAAGGCCTGATTTTGGATGTTTACCATGAAATGAAGCATTGACAATATGCAAAGCCACTTTTTAATGTAATTTGGTAGAGTTTGACATTCCCCTGGAATACAAAGTAAATAATGATCTTTGGAATTATGCTATACAATCTTGGCTTTTGTTGCCATTGCTGTTGGTGCTTTAGTCATGAAGTCTTTGCCCATGTATATGTCCTGAATGGTATTGCCTAGGTTTTCTTCTAGAGTTTTTATGGTTTTAGGTATTAGTTTAAGTCTTTAATCCATCATGAATTAATTTTTGTAAAAGGTGTAAGGAAAGGATCCAGTTTTAGTTTTCTGCATAAGGCCAGCCAGTTTTCCCAACACCATTTATTAAATAGGGAATCCTTTCCCCATTGCTTGTTTTTGTCAGGTTTGTCAAAGATCAGGTGGTTGTAGATTTGTGGTGTTATTTCTGAGGCCTCTGTTCTGTTCCACTGGTCTATATATCTGTTTTGATATGAGTACCATGCTGTTTTGGTTACTGTAGCCTTGTCGTACAGCTTGAAGTCAGGTAGTGTGATGCCTCCAGCGTTGTTCTTTTTGCTTAGGATTGTCTTGGGTCTACGGGCTCTTTTTTGGTTCCATATGAAATTTAAAGTAGTTTTTTTTCTAATTCTATGAATAAAGTCAATGGTAGCTTGATGGGAATAGCAATGAATCTACAAATTACTGGCAAAATGTTACTTCATTTGGGGTTGAATATGAGAAAATGCAAGAAGCTTAGTTTAGAGGCTAATGTAGTAAGGAGTCCAGATGAGAAATGACAGTAACTTGAAAGAAAGTGATGAAAGCAAAGACTATATAATATATGGGCTGTTCAGTTTTAGGATGTTTTGTTGTGTCTTTTTTCATAAGAAGTTTATATTAACTTCTTAGTGTCATGTCAGAGCACTGCTGGCTTTTGTTATAGGCAAAACTGTGTCGCATAGCAAATTCCTATGTTGCAATCCTAACCCCAAGTACCTCAGAATGTGACTGTGTTTGTATACAGGGTCTTTAAGAAGGAAACTAAGGCAAAAAAAAATCGTATGTGTGGTCCCTAATCTAGCTGAATGGGGTCCTTATAAGAAGAGATTAAGGAATAGACATGCACATTATCATGTGAAGATGCAAGGAGAAGATGGCATCTACAAGCCAAGGAGACAGATCCTCAGAAGGAACACAGCCTATTAACACCTTGATCTTGGACTTCTAGCCTCTAAAACTATAAGGAAATACATTTCTGTTGTTTATGAACCACTGAGTCTGTGGGTTTGTTGTTATAGTATCTCAAGCTAACTAATATAGTCCTCTGCAGCTGACCAACACTTGCAGTCACAAAAAGTACCCAAATCCTTAGGCTAGATGAAATTAATTGTATTGTCATAGAGATCATGATACTTGGAAAGGGCATTGGCCTTTGCCATATACAGACTGAGTTTGATTCCTGTATCCACAATTTCCTAGATACATGACCTTAGACAAGTTATTTAAATGTCACTGAGCTTCAGTTTCTTTAATCATATCAGATACAGTAGGCCAATCACCAGACCAAAGTCTGGCACAGGATAAACACTCAACAAAATTTAGTTTCTGTCTTAGCTGTCTCATAATTTCTTCTTCTCCTCAGTAGGCAATCATAAAGAACTCTTATGAGAATGGCTCTGAAATTAGATGAAATTTGAACTTCACTTGAATTAATCAAAGCTGATTTCAAATCCTAGCTCTGACATCTGTAGTTTGGATGTTGGAGCAAGTTACCTAATCTCTCTAAGCCTTTGTTTTCTCATCTATAACATTTTCATAAGGTGGTTATGAGGATTAAATGCTATTTTGCATGGAAAGTGCTTATATCAGAGCCTGACATATAAATAAGGCTAGAGTAGTATTTTTAATATTAATTACACACATTTTTATGAGTTCTTATTTTGCTACTAACTTCTTTGTGATTGGTGTTTGTCACAACTATGACACACTCCTGAATGAAAACCATCTATTCTTCATGGTTCACTAACACCTATGGCTCCTAACTTATATTCTCAGTTAGATACCTGGCAAATGTTAATTCAACTATTGCCAAGCATTCTTCCTAGAAATTTAAAACGAAAACTGCTCATTAGATATGCACTGAGTATTCAGTAGTTTTTCCAAAGTAACAACACCTTAGTACTTCTTAAAAACATGGTCCTTGTTCTATTGCTTACGTAGGCACCTCACGAAGCAAATTAGAACAGATATAAACCCTGTAATCAGGGATCTTAATGGCTAAAGTACCTTGATTGGATTCCCCTAGTGTTTTAATAAAATCACTTATGGTCTAATTCTCCTGTCCTCATTTTGCTGCTGATGAAATCCCAGGATAGTACCAAAGTATTGGCTTTTTTCAACTCTGCTGCACTAATGTCTGCTGTTTTCCTTCCGCACGAATCCTTTAATCATACCTTTGGGATACTAAAATGTAAAAACCATTTGGGATTACCTAACACATAGGAATAGCAAGTTTTGCTCTGAAGCAGATGGAAGCAGCCAATGTGGCTCCTTTTTTTCCTTTAATCTCAAGATAGCTGTAATTCTGCCCAAGCCTCCAGGGGACACTTCTGGCTGAGAAAAATCCTGGAAATGGAAGTCCTATCTATTCCTATTTCACTGAAAGGATGAATCAGTTTTAGAAACATTTCAAGGACTCAGGATTACACTGGGTCATGCGCTCATGAAATTGTGTAGGTAGCTATGGAAAAAGGAAATAATCATGGATGTGCTTTAAGTTTAATTAAAAACTCGTTATTATTGACACAAAAATGGTACCTGTCCAGTTTCCAAGAACTCCAGCAGTGCAATGACTGTTCATAATCCCTTTTCCTGGAAATAGATCCCTGTTTCTCTGTTTATTTGATGTGTGCACATGATCCACTTTACTTAATAAATTGTAAGGCATAAATTTTTAAAAGTGTTATAATAATTTATATTAATAAAGTATAAGTACAATTTTATTTTAGATTTATAACTCTTCAACCCCCTAACCTCAATTATTGGCTTAAAGGACTGAGATGTTACCTAAACTGCTCATCGGGCCTTTTGCTTACGTTTTTCAAACTCAAGCTAATAGAGAATCACTTTATTCCTTGAAAAATATTTTTATTCTCTTCAAAAATATGAGCCAACAGCAGTCATTAGCCATGGTTCCAACTTCATGAAGAAATGAAAAGAGAGAAGAATGCCTCTACAAAAAAGAGGGGAAATTAATAGGTGTAAGGAGGTGAATCTGTCAGTATAAAATCCCTGGTTATATTTTTTTAGTGGCCCCTACTATATCCCTGTTTTTTCACAATTACATAAACCAGTAGATTCTTTTTGCTTGATTTTAATTTCCATAACTTACAGTGATAGCATCCTGTCTTTCTAATAGAAGTAAGAAAAAATATAAGGGAAGAAATAATTCTAGGGAGAGGTTAGAACTTTAGGCCACAAAGAAAGGGTAGAAAGGAAGAAATACTTCACTATATGAGAGGATATTCTAGATATGGGACAGAGCTTTATAGGGAGTGGAGTGACAGATAGGATATAAATTATGTTTTTGGTTGTCATTAGATTTTTCTGAGTCATAGGGCCCATATGTGTGAACAATGGGAGAAAGCACTAAAATAAAGAGAAGTCCCCAAGTCAGACAGAGTTGCAACCTAGTAATACACTAGGCAATGCAGACAGTTTATATCTCAAGCATGAAAGTTATAGAATGAAAATAATATTTAAAAATATTTTTTTGGCAATGGTTCATAAGGGTGACTGGAGGCAAAAATGGTGTGTGAGAGAGATCCATTGAGAAGCTACTGAAAAAAATCCAATTGTGAAATGACAAGAACTTTAAATAGGTCACAGACAACAGAAAGCAAAGAAAGAGTTAATCATAAAGCCACTTCTACAAAGAAATCATGGTGTTTGGTACCATATTTTGTCTAGGGCTAAGTAATACATAAAAAAAAAAAAAGAGTTAAGAATGATTTCATAGTTTGTAGTCTGATAGACCAACTAACAGATAGGATAGCCAGGCAGTAGAAGCTGATGTTTGACAGGGAATGTTGTGTTCCATTGTGGACACATGGATTACCACAAGGAATCTACAAAATGACATTTTGGACTCAAAAATTAACCTAATAATGGAGCTCTCATGAGAGGTCTGGGCAGTGGGGGATGTGGGTGTACGTGTAAAAATGAGAGGTAAAGCCAAGAAACGGAGTGAAGAGAAAGAACAGAGAGCTTACGCCAGAGCTTTTGCTCAGAATTAAATAAATGATTAAAGGGAAGAAAGGTTGTTTGAAAATAATAATAATAATAGATTGAATGCTCCCACCTAATACAAAGAAATGCTAAATATTTGGATGATGGATATGCTAAATTAGTGTGATGTGACCACTATACATTATATGTACTGAAAACACCACTACGTACTCCATGAATATGTACAATTATTATTGTCAATTAAAAATAAAATTTAAAAATGTTGAAAAAATATATCAATGACATCTAACATTATTGAGAGTTAGAGTTGGGTAAGCTTTTATGCACATAATCTCAATGATGTTCAAAACAACCCAGTGAGACTGGAATGAAATATTATTCTCATTTCCCAGATGAAGAAACTGCAGCAGAGAGATTAAACAACTTACTCAAGGTCAAATAACTATTAAAGGGACACAAAATAAGAACTTAAAATCAGTTCTAATATCAAAGCTTAGGTATTTATATGCAATCTTGTTCAACCTACTGCAGGAAAGAAAAGTGGTCACTGGAAATAGAGGAGACCTACATGCATCTAAGAAAGACGATGATTCCAGAATGGAAAGGTGCCCTATAGTGTTAAATGCCATAATGCAAATAAAGATAACTAGGACTGAAAGAAGGCAGCAAGACATGGTGGTTAGTGAACCATTGTCTTAGTGAAGCATTGTCTTAGTGAAGCAATAGAGCATAAATCAGACTTGAGTGCAAAGTTAGGATGAAGAATAGGAGGTAAAAAGAATATTTATGGAATGCAAATTCTAGTATATGGAAATGAAAGAAAGGAGAGAATCCATCTAAGTCAGGTAAATCCACATTAGCAAGGAAGACCCTAGCATATTAAGGAAGATTTTATTCATGTGATATTTTCATTCTTCAGAGTTATATAAAATACTATGTGTACTGAAAAGGAATTTATAGGTGTTGAAAAAATTGCTGTAATTTCAAACTACATAACTTATTAAAGTTATTTACTAGACTCTTAAATATCTTGTAATCCCATAACAAAAAGGAGATAACAGGATAGAAATAATTATACCCTATAAACAGATGAAAAAAAAAGTTCAATAGAATTCATTAACATACTGAAGGTCACAAAATTAATAAATGTTAGGAAAAAAACAGGCTGCTGAATTTTATCAAGCACTGTTTCCATTATATCACACAGAAACTTGTAAATCTAACTATCTTTCAACTAATAGAAAAACCTACATTTTTAGTGAGAAACAAAATGAGATGGACAGAGAGGAACAAATTAACATTATTAAGCATTGTTAAGGTATTCCTGGAAATTTTTGTGAGACTAATGAAAGCTACATGTTTCAGAAGATATCATATTATCATAAATGCACAGAGTAATGAAATATAAAATTAATCACCAAGGAAGAAGCATATTAAGATGTAGGAAACAAGGCACTAACACAATGTAATAAGATAAATTCAATCATCTAAAAATTATAATACAAAGAAGTGATGCAAATTAGTAATCATTTAAATGTTACATTTTATTAAAGTGAGCCTTCTAAAAGATAAATTCATGATAATTTAAGGTGAGGTTGCAATTATTTCTCCTTCAAGACCTTTATATTTTTATATATTAGCTATTATTATTAAGAGATAGGCAATATTTAAAAATATATAAATTGTGAGGGAGGCAGAAGAAGATGGCAGATAGGAAGCTACAAAGATCTTCCCTCTCCCACTGCAAGGAAGGGATGAAAAATATATTTCACACAAATAGAAACTAGAATAAGAGATTTTAATAAACAGACCTGAATCACTGACACCACCCCTTCCTCACCCTGGCAGTGACAGAGAGCATCTCTGGGAATTTAGAGAGGGAAAACACAGCAATTGTGAGGTATTGAATAAAAAACAAGGAATCAAAGCATATTACTAGAAAAAATCACTTAATCACAAAGAAAAAATGTAAAAGAAGAAATGAAAAAAGGATCAACAAATCAACTGGAAAACAAGTAACAAAATGACAGTAGTAACCCCTTACCTATCATTTACCTTAAATGTAAATGAAATTCTTCAATCAAAATAAAACAGAAAGGCTGAATGAATTAAAAATAAAAAAGACCCAACTGTATGCTGCATACAAGAAACTCATTTCATCTATAAAGACACATGAAGACTGAAAGTGAAGTAAGGAATGAAAAAGATATTCCACACAAATGGAAACTAAAATAAAGCAGGAGTAGCTATACTTACATTAGGCAAAATAGAGCTTAAGCCAAAAACTGTAAAAAGATAAAGACATTCACAATGATAAAAGGGTCAATAGAGCAACAGGATATAACAAGTATAAATATACATGCACTCAACATAGGAGTGCCTAAATATATAAAGAAAACATTAATAGACTTAAAGAAAGAGATTGCACTGCAGTACAATAATAGTGGTGGGTTTCAACACCCCACTTTTGGCAATAGACAGATCATCCAGATATAGTGAAACATCAGTTTCTTTACAGAGTTAAGCCACACTGTAGACCAAATAAACCTAATAAATGTTTACAGAAATATTCATGTAACAGCCTCAGAATATGTATTTTTCTCATCTGCACATGGAACATTCTCTAGGATAGACCATATGTGAAGTAAAAAAAAATAGTCTTATCACATTTAAAAATGTTAAAATTATATCAGATAACTTTTCTAACCAAAATATAATAAAACTAGGAATCAATAACATGAGGAACCTTGGAAAATGTACAAATAAATGAAAATTAAACAACATGCTCCTGGGCAACTAATGAGTAATGAAGAAATTGTGAAGAAACATTTTTGAAGAATATTGATACAAATGAAAATGGAAACCCAACATACCAAATCCTATGGGATGCTGAAAAAGAAGTTATAATAGGAAAGTTTATAGCAAAAACACTTATATCAAAAATGTAGAAAGATTCCAAAGAAATAAGCAAAAGTTGCATTTCTAAAACCTAGAAAAATGAGAACAAAATAAACCCCAAACTAGTAACAGAATGAAGAAATAATAAAGATCAGAGCATAAACAGAATATAGACTAAAAATAAATATACCACAGAAATACAAAGGATCATTACAGACTCTTATAAACAACTATACCCCTAACAAATTAGAAAACCTAGAAGAAATGGATAAATTTATGGATATGTACAACCTACCAAGATTGAATAATGAAGCCACAGAAAAACTGAACACCTGAACAGACCAATAATGAGTAATGATATTGATTCAGAAAGGAAAGTTCAGCACTAGATATATTCACTGCCAAATAATTCTATCAAGCTTTTAAAGAAGAAATAATACCAATCTTTCTGAGATGATTTTAAAAAAAAGGAAGTACAAGGAATCCTTTTAAATTCATGCTTGCATGGTATTTGCATAAAAAACAGACATATAGATCAATGGAACAGAATAGAGAACCCAGAAATAAATCCATGCATTTCCAGCCAACTGCTTTTTGACAAAGTATCAGAACACACATTGGGGAAGGGACAGTCTCCTTAATAAAGGGTGATGATAAAACTGGATACTCACATGTTGAAGAATGACACTATAACGGTATCTCTTACCACTTACAAAAATCAACTCAAATTGGATTAAAGACTTAAATGTAAGACCTGAAACTATGAGATACTAGAAGAAAACACAGGAAAAAATGCTTTATGACATGGCTCTGAACAAAAGTTTTTTCAATAAAACCTGAAAAGCAGAAGCAACAAAAGAAAAAGTAAACAAATAAGAGAATTATATCAAACTAAAAAGCTTCTGCACAGCAAAGGAAAAAATCAAGAGTGAAGAGACAAACTGCAGAATGGGAGAATATATTTGCAAACTATGCACCTGAAAAGGGGTTAATATTAAGAATATATAGGCATACATGGGAGATATTGCTGTTTTGATTTCAGACCATTACAATAAAGCAAATATCAGAGTAAAGTGATTCACACAATTTTTTGCTTTTCCAGTGCATATAAAAGTTATAATACCACACTGTAGTTTATGAAGTGTGCTATAACATTAGGTATAAAAAATGGACATACTTTAATTTTAAAATACATTTTTGCTAAAACATGCTAATGAATATCTGTGCCTTCAGCAAGGCATAATATTTTTGCTGATAGAGGATCTTGTCTTGATACTGATGGCTACTGATTGATCAGGGCGGTGGCTGCTGAATGTTTGGGTGGCTGTGGCAATTTCTTAAAATAACAATGAAGTTTGCCACATGAATTGACTGTTTTTTTTTTTCATGAAAGATTTCTTGGTAGCATATAATGCTGTTGGATAACATTGTACCCACAGTAGAACTGCTTTTAAAATTGGAGTCAATACCCTAAAACCCTGCTGCTGCTTTATCAACTAGATTTAGGTAATTGTCTAAATCATTGTCATTTCATCAAGGCTTACAGCATCTTTGCTGTAGCAGATTCCATTTCAAAAAAGCACATTCTTTGCTTATCTATTAGAAGCAACTTCTCATCCACTCAAGTTTTACCATGAGATTGTATAAATTCACATTGTCAGGCTCACCTTCTAACTCTGGTTCTCTTACTCTTCTACTACATCTGTAGTTACTTCCTCTACTTGAAGTCTTGAACCCCTCAAAATCATCCATAAGGCTTGGAATCAACTTTTTCCAAATTCCTGTTAATATTGATATTCTGACCCACTCCCATGAATCACTAATATTTTTAATAGTAATTAAAATGTTGAATCCTTTCCAAGAGATTTTCAATTTACTTTGCATAGATTAATCTGAAGAATCACAATCTGTGGCAGCTATAGCATTATGAAATATATTTCTGAAGTAATAAGAATTGAAATCCAAAATTTCTCCCTGATCCATGAGCTTCAGGATAGATGTTGTCTTAGCAGGCATGAAAACAACATTAATCTCCTCGTAACTTTTCATCAGAGCTTTTGGGTGCATTGTCATAAAGCAGTAATATTTTGAAAGGAAGCTTTTCTTCTTAAGAGTAGTTCTTAACAGTGGGCTTAAAATATTCAGTAAAGCATTCTATAAACAGATATGCTGTCATCCAGGCTTTGCTATTCCATTTTTGAGCACAGGCAGAGTACATTTAGCATAGCTCTTAAGGGCCTTGGGGTTTTTGGAACAATAAAAGAACACTGGCTTCAACTTAAGGTCACCAGCTGCATTATCTCTAACAGAGAGTCAGCCTGTCCTTTGAAGCCTTGAAGCAGGAATTCACCTCTCCTCTCTAGCATGAAAGTCTTAGATAGCATCTTCTTCCAATATAAGTCTGCTTTGTCTACGTTGAAACTGTATTGTTTAGTGTAACCACCTTTATCAATTATCTTATATCTGGATGACTTGCTGCAACCTCTGCAATAGTACTTGCTACTTTACCTTGCACTTTTAGGTTATAGAGATGGCTACTTTCCTTACACTCCATTAACCAAACTCTGTTAGCTGCAATCTTTCCTTCTGAAGCTTTCTCACCATTCTCAGCCTTGAGCCAGTTGAAAAGATTCAAGGCCTTGCTATTAATTAGACTTTGGCTTAAGTGAATGTGGTGGCTGGTTTGATCCAGACCACTAAAACTTTCTCTGTATCTGCAATAAGGCTGTATCAGATTCTTATAATTTATGTGTTCACTGGAGTAGCATTTTTAAAATTTTCTTCAAAAATTTTTTATTTGCATTCACAACTTGACTAAGTGGCACAAGAGGCCTAGGCTGGTTAGTGTATCTGGGCTTTTGACACACCTTCCTCATTAAGCTTAATCATTTCTAGCTTTCATTTAAAGTAAGAGGCATGTGACTCTTTCTTCCAGTTGAAAATTTAGAAGCCATTGTAGATGATTAATTGGCCTAACTTCAATATTGTTCTGTCTCTGACAACAGGGAAGCCCCAAGGAGCAGGACACAAAAGGGAGAGTGGCCCATTGGTGGAGCAGTCAGAACACAAATGTTTATTGATTAAGTTCACCAACATAGATGGGCATGATTTGGGATTCCCTAAACACAGATAAAAAATGTGGTATACAAACACAATGGAATACTATTCATCCATAAAAAAAGAATGAAATTGTGTTATTTGTGATAGCATGGATGAAACTGGAAGACATTATGTTAAGTTAAAGAAGCCAAGCACCTAAGGCCTAATAATGCATGATAGCAATCATAATTGGAATCTTAATAAGTTGAGCTCATTGAAGTAGAGAGTAGGATAGTGGTTACCAGATGCTGGAAACAGTAGCAGGGAAGAGGGGAGCGGAGAGGTCAGTCAAATGGAACAAAATTACAGTTAGATAGGAGGAATGAGTTCTGGTGTTTTATTGCACAGTAGTGTGACTATAGCCAAGAATAAGGTATTACATACTTCAAAGTAGCAAGAAGAGATGATTTTGACAAGTGTTTGAGGTGAATAATATGCTAATTACCCTGGTAAATTAGCACATGAAAATATTTCCATCATTAGACATTAGAAGAATGCAAATTAAAAACAATTAGATAATTTCACACAAGTATTAGAAAGGCTAAAGTGAAAAAAAGGAAACTAAATGCTGGCAAAGATGTGAAGCAAGGGCAACTCTCATACATTACTGGTGAGAATACGAAATGGTATAGATATTTGGGGAAGAGAAATATTTATCTTTTTCATTAAGCAGTTTATTATTAAGGCAGTTTATCATTAAGAAATATAACATATCAGCCTGGGCCAGTGGCTCATCACTGTAATTCCAGCACTTTGGGAGGCCAAAGCAGATGTATGGATGTATGGCTTGGGCACAGGAATTTGAGATCAGCCTGGGCAACATGGCAAAACCCTGTTTCTACAAAAAAAATATGAAAATTAGCTGGGCATAGTGGCACATGCCTGTAGTCTCAGCTACTTGGAACTTGGGAGGCTGAGGTAAGAGGATCACTTAAGCCCTGGAAGCAGAGATTGCAATGAGCCAATATGCTGATGCTGCACTTTAGCCTAGGTGACAGAGAGACTCTGTGGAAGAAAAAAAAAAGAAGAAGAAAGAAAGAAAGAAGGAAAGAAAGAGAAGGAAAGTAAAATATACCAAATGACTCAGCAATCTTATTGTAATCATCCAAGAGAAATAGCAATTTATGTTCACAGAAAATCTACACAAAGTTTATTTACTCCAGGTATATAAAATTGCCAAATTTGGAAAAAGCAAAAAAGCACAGATGTTCTTCGATAGGTGAATTATTAAGCAGGACACCATGCACCAGTTGCCAATCCCTGGAGAGGACTCCAAATATTTCTGCCCATTGCATTTTGGTATTGCAGTTATCATGGGAATCACAACACCGTCAAGCACTGGATGGAACAACTCTTTATTTACATAGAGAGGAAACAGAGAAAAATTCATTCTGAGAGTATTTTTCAATACCCCATGGCCAGGGGGTCTCTCCTAGCAATGAATGCAGGGTAATTGCCCATGCACACTCCTTGAGTGCCGCAGAAGGTCCCTATTCCCTCCCCACAGTGGAGTTGGCCAAGTGCCAAGTGATACACTTGCTTAAACAGAACAAAGGGACATATACTAGGCTGGCAATGGAGAAAGATATTCTCACACAAGGCAATAGGCCCTGCACAGGTGGTGTGCACTCTTTATCTTGGGAAGAAAGTATTCCAGGCCCAAAATCCATTAGGTGGCTAAGTAGGAGAAAGACTGTACTCATGAGACTGTCTTTTCCAACATGAATGAATTAACCAAGTGTAGTTCATCAGTACAATGGAATACTCATCATCAATAAAGAGAAACAAACTAGTTGTTCATGCAATGGCTTGGATAAATTCCAAATGTATTATGCTAAGAGAAAGAAATTAGACTAAAAAGGTTTCATACTGTATGATTCCATTTAGGGCTTTCTGGAAAAGAAAAAACTATAAGAATAAAAATCAGATCAGCAATTGCAGCACATAAAAGAGAATGGCACAAATTACTTTTAGGCAATTTGGCGGGGGGAGGCGGTTGATGAAACTTTTCTGTACCTAGTTTTGATGATAAAAATGTGTATATTTGTCAAAAGCAATAAAGAGAGAATTTTTTCAAAAAGTGAATTTTGTTGTATATAAATTTAGATGTCAGTTATAGGATAAGAAATACTATGGAAATTGTAAATAAAATATAAAATGTGAGGAAAAATTTTGTATAAATATTTAACTGAGAAGGACTCTAAATATAAATGTAATAAAAGGGGTCATGAGTGCAAAGTGAATAAATAGATTAAAATGTAACATTTTCCTCTCTTAAAAATGACAAACTGGGAGGAAGTATCAGGTAATCACAGATCTGACTTGTATCCAGAATATAGAAAGTAATCTTAGTACTCAACAACAAGAAAATAAACAATACAATTTTTTAAATTGGGAAAATTTTAAATAGACATACCATAAAAGAGCTTAAGTCTTTAAGTTAGATATGAATATTATATTAATAATTAATAAAAAATGGCAATGCTAGTAGAAAAATGAATAATTAGCAAATTTCAAAAGAGAAATTTAGAGTAATAAATAAATGTAAGAAAAACACACACATTAAAAAAGCTGGTGAGAAATCTACCTGCAACCAGTCTCCTTCCCTTTCTTTCTTTTATAATGTCAGCCATATGTTTCCAAGATTTTCATCACCTTTCTATATTTATATGAGCATATTTTTTCTCGATTAATATGAAATAATTCCTGAGTAAATATTTTTTACCTGTTTATTTTATCTACCTTTCATCTACCTCGGTAGATGAAATGATCAGTATGGCAAGCATTATCAGATAATCTGCTTTTAGTACTATGAGGCTCTCAGCAGATTGCCTATAGAGCTGAAATCACAGCTCTTTCTTTGCAGTAAATTTTCAGTCTTTATTAAATATTACTTAATATTTCCATGAGGATGGAAGGTGGGGTGGGAGGAAACAAAACTAAACACTAGTCTTATTATAGAGAAATAGATACATGTATTTAATGAAGAAAATGAATAAGCCTTTAATGAAGTGGTTTGGGTACACAGGGAATTTCTGGAGAAATGCTTGAGATTTCAATATGAAAGACTGGAGAGGAGATGGTATGAGAATTTTGACATGAGCCAGCCAAGTCTTAGACAAGAATAGAAGCATCTTTTGCTAGGCATGAAATAGACAGCATGCAATTTTTGGCTGTTTGATTGCCAACAAAGAAGGCTATGAGGTAGGGAAGAGAGAGAAAAGAAGCATGAAATAAAGGAAAAAGAAGGTCTTAACAGAAACAAAAATGTGAAGAGCAAGCAATGCATAAATATTAGGTAGAGCACATGAATAAATAAACTGAAATTGCAAATATGCATTGAAGAGATTATGGCAATAGGAGAAAAGTGAATAAAAATTGTACATTTTGTGTATTTCTCTAACTCTCATATTATTCATTCATTCTAACAATATGTATTAGTCAGCTTTTTTGTGAATAGGACCCAAAATTGGTATAGTTCCATATAAGAATAACATACACTGAATTAACCTTATAAAAAGCCTTCCTTATATTTACATTTAAACAACAACCCTGGAATACAATTCTTTCCTCATTTTAAACTTGAAATTTCTGAATTTCTTTAAAGTTATTACTGAGCAAGAACTTGGTAGGAGGTCTTCTGACCCTGGTCCATTGTGTTTCCCACAAAACCATTTGACTTATATCATGACAAGACATGTGGCTTCAATAATTTGTTATCCTATCGGGAAATCTTAAGTAAATAGAATGTTTTAAGGGAAACATGATTTACTGACAAAGGAGAGGTACAAACAACTAAGTGTGATGGGGAAGTGTCTAGACTTTAAAGTCTTATTGGATTGGGGTCAATTCTCTTTCTGCACATACTATTTGTGTAACTTTACACAAATCACTTTAAGACTCAGTGTACTGCCTGTGGAAAAAAATTGCAAAACCTATCTTATAGAATTGCTGTGAAATTAAATAGTTAATATAGGTCAAGAAGGACACAACACTGACCCTCAATAAATGACAGGAATTACGGTAAAAGGCAATAACACTATATATTAGAGAAGTCCGGGAAAGCCTAAATGAAGGTGGCATTTTCTTTGGTCCCTTAGTAGGATTTATATAGCCAGGGGAAGGACATTAAGTGACATGTATTTTTCAGCGTAAGCTTCAAATTAAAAAAAAAATTATTAGAAATAAGACTGTTAACTCCATCTCATTTTCTTTCTAAAGGAATCCTCTTAAAAACTTTAATTTTTAATGGATTTGAGACTTTAAAAGTTTGAGACTATCATAATGATTTTAAACAATTTCTCTAAAAATGTTACCATGCTTAACCATAATAGGCCTCAAAAAAAAAAAAAAAAACTGTCACCTTGATTTCTTCAACTATGATGATCAACAAGAGATGAACTTCATGGATTTAATAACTGTAGAAAGTTACTTGGCAGATGGCAAAAGATAAACATCTTCTGCGATAAAATAATGATATTAAACTATAATATATCAAAAGAATCTGAAAACTTAAAAAACAAGTTAGTTTGGTTTCAGTTATATGGAATAGCAAGCAATCAAAAACGTATTTATTTTCTCTTCACTAGAAGAAAAGCAGTAACTCTTCAAAAAGATGAAACTGAGTTCAAGTATAAATGGAGACTGTAGTAACAAAGGATGAAAATCATGTGAACTCAGTTCTCTTTTAGACTTTTCTAGTTCTCATTTAAATAGTGGCCATTTGTTTTGCTCTTGCTAGCTTCAGCTTCAATACTCCAATTTCCTATGGGAGACTCTTGGGTTTTGTGAAACACAAAATGGAAAAAAAAAATCTTTATTGTTCTGTGAAAATTACAAACTAATTATTTAAAAATTTTGAATACAAATCATATCCTACTTAAGAAAGAATCCAGTGGCATAATGAGTACTTATATAAAACTGTTTGAGGCTTTGGAGTTCTTGGAAATTTGTCATTTTCTATACAAAATACAAATCAGAATTGATGGAATGCTGGGCACGTTGGCTCACACCTATAATTCCAGCACTTTTGGATGCCAAGGTGGGCAGATCACTTGAGCTCAGGACTTTGAGACCAGCCTGGTCAACACAGGGAAACCCCGTCTCTACTAAAAATACAAAATTAGCTGGATGTGATAGCATCTGTAATCCCAGCTATGCGGGAGGCTGAGGAAGGAGAATTGCTTGAACCCAGGAGGTGGAGGTTGCCATGAGCTAAGATTCTGCCACTGCACTCCAGCCTGAACAACAGAGTGACACTCTGAATCAAAATAAGTAAATAAATAAATAAATGATAAAAAGAAAAATATCATGCCTGTAATCCCAGCACTTTGGGAGGCTGAGGCGGGTAGATCACGAGGTCAAGAGATCGAGACCATCCTGGCTAACATGGTGAAACCCCATCTCTACTAAAAATACAAAAGAAAAAAATTAGCCAGGCGCGGTGGCGGGTGCCTGTAGTCCCAGCTACTCGGGAGGCTGAGGAAGGAGAATGGCGTGAACCCAGGAGGTGGAGCTTGCAGTGAGCCGAGATAGCGCCACTGCAGTCCGGCCTGGGCGAAAGAGTGAGACTCCGTCTCAAAAAAAAAAAAAAAAGAATTGATAGAATGAAATTCACCTCTCATTCAGCCCCTTGTAAAATTGTGTGGAGACTACAATTTATTTATTATATTAATAAATATGTCAGCCTATAAATAGCTAATAATTTCAATAATTTCATTGAATTCAAGATCAAACAGCTGATGTCATGTTTATTATTATTAATTATTTTGTATTTCCATATGACAAGGTTTGGCTGTGTTCCCACCCAAATCTCAAATTGTAGCCCAAATAATTCCCACGTGTCATGGGAAGGAGCCAGTGGGAGGTAACTGAATTATGAGGGTGGGTCTTTCCCATGCTTCTCATGACCGTGAATAAGTCTCACAAGATCTGATGGTGTTGTAAAGGGGAGTTTCCTTGCCTATGCCCTCTCTCTTGCCTGCCAACACATAAGACATGACTTTGCTCCTCTTTTGCCTTCTGCTATGATTTTGAGGTCTCCCCACCCACGTGCAACTGTGAATCCATTAAACCTCTTTCCTTTATAAATTAACCAGTCTTGGGTATGTCTTTAATAGCAGTGTGAGAACAGACAAATACAGTAAACTGTTACTGGTTGAGTGAGATACTTCTGTAAAGATACCCCAAAACGTGGAAGCAACTTTGGAAGTGGGTAACTGGGAGACAATGGAACAGTTTGGATGGCTCAGAAGAGGACAGAAAGATGTGGGAAAGTTTGGAACTTCCTAAAGACTTGTTGAATGGCTTTGACCAAAATGCTGATCATGATATGGACAACGAAGTCCCATTCAGGTGATGTCAGATGTAGATGAGGAACTTGTTGGGATAACTAGGTCACTCTTTCTATGCAAAAAGACTGGGCATTTTGTCCCTGCTTTAGAGATCTGTGGAACTTTCAAATTGAGAGAGATAATTTGGGGTATCTGGTGGAAGAAATTTCTAAGCAGCAAAGTATTCAAGAGGTGACAGGGCATAAAAGTTTGGAAAATTTTCAGCCTGATGATGCAGTAGGAAAGAAAAACCAATTTTCTGGGGAGAAATTCAAGCCATCTGAAGAAGTTTGCATAAGTAACAAGAAGCCAAATACTAATCACCAAGACAGTGGGGAAAATGTCTCCAGGGCATGTCAGAGACCATCATGGCAGTCCTTTCCATCACAGGCTTGGAGGCTTAGGAGGAAAAAAATGGTTTAATGGGCAGACCCCAGGGCCCACTTGCTGTAGGCAGACTCAGGACATGGTGCCTTGCATCCCAGCTGTTTCATCTGCAGCCCCGATCCTTGGCAACTTACACATGGTGTTGGGACTGTGGGTACACAGAAGTCAAGAACTGAGGTTTGGAAACTTCCATATACATTTTAAAGGATGTATGGAAATGCCTGACTGTCCAGGCAGAAGTTTGCTATGGGGTCAGGGCCCTCATGGAGAACCTTTGCTATGGCACTATGGAAGGGAAATGTGGGATTGGAGGCCCCACACAGAGTCCCCACTGGGGCACTGCCTAGTGGAATTGTAAGAAGGCCACTGTCCTCCAGAAATCCAGAATGGTAGATACACCTACGGCTTGCACTGTGTGCCTGGAAAAGCCACAGATACTCAATGCGAGCTCATGACAAGAGCTGGAGCTCTACACTGCAAAGTCACAGGGGCAGAGTTGCCCCAAGACATAGGAACCCACCTCTTGCATCAGCATGACTTGGATGTGAGACATGGAGTCAAGAGAGATCATTTTGGAACTTCAATGACTGTTCTATTGGATTTTGGACTTGCATGGAGCCTGTAGCCCCTTTGTTTTGGCCAATTTCTTCCATTTTGAATGGGTATATATACCCAATGCCTGTACCCCACTCTGTCTAGGAAGTAAGTAACTTGCTTTTGATTTTACAGGCTCATGGGAGGAAGGAACATGCCTTGTCTCAGATGAGACTTTGGACTGTGGGCCTTTTAGTTAATGCTGAAATGAGTTAAGCCTTTTGGGGACTGCTGGGAAGGTATGACTGTGTTTTGAAATGTGAAAGGGACATGAGACTTGGGAGGGGTAAGAGGTAGAATGACACAGTTTGGCTGTGTCTCTACCCAGATCTTGAATTATAGCTCCCATAATTCCCATGTGTCACAGGAGGGACCCAGTGGGAGGTAATTGAATCATGAGGGTGGGTCTTTCCCATGCTATTCTTGTGGTAGTGAATAAATCTTATGAGAGCTGATGGTTTTATAAAGGGGAGTTCCCCTGCACATGCTCTCTCTCTTGCCTGCTGCCATGTAAGACATGACTTTGCTCCTCCTCTGCTTTCCGCCATGATTCTGAGGCCTCCCCAGCCATGTGGATTTGTGAGTTCATTAAACCTTTCTCCTTATAAATTACCCAGTCTTGGATATGTCTTTATTACCAGCATGAGATCAGACTAATACACCATATTTGTCCTTAAAATTGAATAATATTTCCATATTTCAAAATTTCCACATTACTGCCTTAACTGAATTACTCATTCCTAAGATCTGAAAAGAAGCCATTTTTAAAATAATATTTTATTTATATAATATGTTTATAAATGTTTCTGAATTTATATATATTATAAAATGAGGTACATCCCATTCTTGTTTTATCCTATTTTTTAGGCTCTAGTTTAAATCAGTTTAAATATGTAATTGTTATGTTTTAGATCTTCCATCTACTGAACCACAACTCAATGTGCAGAAAGGAAAAAAATACAAATCAAGATTAAATCCTCTGAAACGTATGTTTTATAAATATACAACAAATGGCAACTCAGTAAAAGCATTATGATTATTCCACTTAAATTTCATTATAATTAGAAATCCTATAGAAAAATCCATCGAGAACTTTGATTTTTAAATTACAGTCATCATTAATAAAATTTCTGAATTCTATAGTAGTTACCTTTTTTTTTTTTTTTTTTTTTTGGTAAACCAGCTGTGTTTAAAGCTGGGAGTTAGGGGACTTTAGAAAGGTATTTGAATAGTACAGTATCCCTCCTTAAAAAGTTTTTCAGCTCCAGTAAGAGAAACAAATTAATATATAAATAAGGTTTCCACAGATAACCTGCCTTTAAAACAAACCAAACCAAAGAGGCAATATGCAGTTCTCATAAAAAAATCTCCAGTCTCTTTGATATAGAAGTTAAAAAGAAATCACTTAGGGAGATAGCAAGGGTTTGAGAATCCTCAGTCACGCTTTTTATTTCATGAAAAGCAGCCCCAAATCATTTACTAACAAATAGCAGCCTGGAAAGTTGAGCTGCAGATGTAGACAAGCGAGCTGGGAGATTGCACAGGTGAATGTTGGCAGGAACTAAGGACTAGACATTTTCAAGATGGCAGCTCCATTCTTCCCTTCTCTGCCAGCCATGTATACTGTAAAGAGCAGACAAGATGGTGCCAATCAACCGGAAAGCCTATTTGCATAATAAGATTAAGGTGGGGTGACCAGCCTTCTCTGCACTCTATGTAAACATCATACCTGATCAAACCAATCTATGAGCCCTATATAAATCAGACATTGCCCCTTCAAACTGGGCTATATATTTTGGTGCATTTGCAGCCAGCCAGTCCTTTCCACTCAGAGACCTGTATCTCTATAGAGAAAGCTGTTTCTCTTTCTCTTCTCTTCTGCCTATTAAACCTTTGCTCGTAAACTTCTCATGTGTGTCTGTGTCCTAAACTTTCCTGATGCGTGACGACAAACCCTGGGTTTACACCCCAGACATAGCTGCTTTATAATGGGGGCTCGTCCGGGATAACAACATACAACATTCATCGAGATGGTGAGTAGAGGAGCAGACTCCAACTCTGTCCTTTTATTCTGAGGCCCTTGGCTTCCATTTTAGAACCAGATCAAACCAAATATGGGGCCCCTTTCAGCCATTTAAAAATGATTAGCATGGCTGCCAGCCTTACAAGACTTGAGGGACAGGATTGCTAGGGAGAACATGGAGCATCCCCCAGTACCCATGGGTCACTGGGCATACTGGCCCTGTTTGAACCAGCTTCCTTTCATGGAGGACTTAGCTGTCATGTGGGGCTGGAAGAAGTCCTGGTGCACCTGAGGATTTCCGGCCAGGGTTACCACCATTGTTATCCAAAGGTATTTGGACTGACCCCAGCCTCTGACTACCCTGATGAGATGTCGGTAACAGAATCTCCAACCTTTTATCATAATTTCCTCCCTTCCTGTCTTCGATCGTCATATCTATTTCATCCTCTCTGTGTATGCAATGTATGGGAAATTTTATAGTTCAGGGAGGTAATCTTGTTTGGTAAGATGAGGGAATGTCATAGTAACCAGGGATATAGCTCAAGGGAGGGCATCTTTGTGATTTTCAAGGAACAGAGGGTCACCCTCACCATAGGGAGCATCTCTCTCTGCCCTTGGTCTGAAAAGCACATGACATTTCAAGGCCAGCAGCCCCACCTAGTGTAATAGGGATCTTTTCCATGAGGCACATCATTGGTCCTTTACCAAAACACCCTAGCTAACCAATTCTCTCCCTTTTTGCATCCCTCTACTAGACACCATGCTTTATGTTGCTTCTGTTAACAGGAAAACTCTACCTTCAACAATTAGGATTAAAATGTCCCCTGGAACCGAATGTTAGTTCTTGATACTGTCCCATCAGCAGGAAAATGGCCATTTAGTCCCTACATTTTTAAGGCACCTATTCTGCCTCCAATTAGAATGGTACTTAATTAGTAAGGGGATTTTAAGTCTGGAAGTTAACCAGAACCATTATCTAAGGGTAAATGCTTTAGTACAGCCCATAATATCAGGTATAGATTTCAGTCTAGCCCCTCCATTAAAGAGGCCTTGCCCAACTATTATGTAGTGTTTTGTTTTGTTTTGTTTTGTTTTTTTGAGATCTATTTTTCCGGAAGCCAGACAGGCCACATAAGTCTAGGAAGTCAAAGGGAAATCACAGGCAGAGGACAGAGGACTAGAGCCACTTGGGTGAGTGTGACAAACCCCAATCTCTAAATGCCTCTGTTTCCATGGCTGGCAGTCATGCCTGCAACCATGGGTGGCATATTCAACAAGGTGCCGGGACCCAGGAACCATGGAGGGAATACAGCAAGGGGAATGCTCCCACTGTCTTCCTCTCCACTCTGTGTCACACGAAAAGGAAGGAGACTAAAGGGAAGCCTTTTTGTCATTTCTCTTTCTAGATGGGACCATATTCAGCCTGTACTCCCCTGGAGTGCATTCTGAAGTACAGGGACTCCTCTTAACCTGAGACTTTAAAGAAAAAGCAGCTCATTTTCTTTTGCACAAGGGCATGGCCTTTTTACTAGATCCTTGCAAGCACTGCAAAATGAATCCAGCTCTTTTAGCAATCATATCAGGCAGGCCAAAAGAGAATAATTCCCCAAAATGAGAAAAGCAACTTCCAGGGGAACCATCCGAGGCAGCTATTGGGTGTACCAGCCCTTCCAGTCCTCCTTAACCGGGGCCACCTCCAACCACACCACCAGTTCTTCTACCTCCACCATGTCCAAAATTTTCCATTCCATCACCTTCTCACTTACCCCTACAGAAAATACATAATTGAGGTGATGCCACTAGGATTCAAGTACCCTTCTCATTGCAGGACCTCAGGCAATTAAAGGGAGACTTAGGCCAATTTTCTAATGACCCTGATGGGCATATAGAAGTTTTCCAGAATTTAACTCAGGTATTTGACCTCTCATGGAGGGATGTTATGTTGCTCCTAAGCCAAACCCTAACTGCGGCTAAAACAGACAGCTCTGCAAGCATCAGAGGATTTCTGAGGTGAGCAATAGGTCTCCTATAGTAGGCCAAATGGGAAAAGAGAAGATAGAGAAAGTGAAGAAATAGGGGAAACACCATTCCCAGCAAGAAGAGAGGCAATACCTCTTGAAACCCTAATTGGAAGCCCCAGACTCTTCTATGGTGTTTTTCCTTTTTTCACTGTTTTCAATGGCCCTTTTATGATGTTCATTCAACCTGGGAGAAGTTAATTTCCACAAACCTTAAAATGCTTGGCTTAGAGTTGAGCTGGGGGAGAAAGAAAACCCAGAAGCCTGACATGCCGGCAAAAGGGTAAAAGTTTTTTTTACTAGTTGGGTTTTTGGCTTCTCTATCCCTGTGCAAACTGGCAAAAGAAATAATAAGGATCACTGTTTATATTCTCTGAAAAGCTTTAATTAATGAGAAAGGATTTGTGAGGTTGGCCTTAAATTGTAGACAATCTGGTGTGCTTTGTGTGTCTTTCTGTATGGTTCCGTCAAAAGAAAAGTTACTTTAGGTTAGGATGCAGGCCCAGGACCCCCTAAGCCTGCTGTTCAAGCCAGCCCAACAAAATGATCAGTAACAAACTTGGCTAAAGGCCTCCATCTTGCTTCTTGTCCTTGGGAACATGACCTGTAACCATATGGCAATAATTTGTTTTAGTCTCCACCATTTTACAATGTTTGCTGACTTCTTATGCTAAGTCAGTTTCTGGGTGAGGGCCACAAAATCAGATAAGTCACTTTGTCAATCAGGGAGCTGCCAGCTGATTGATCAAGGGCAGGGTTTACAAAATATCTTAAGCACTAATCTTGAGAGCTGTTAAGGGATGGTCAAAATCTTGTAGCCTCCAGCTGTGTGACTCCTAAGCCATGGATTTTAATCTTGTGGCTAGTTTCTTGGTCTGGTACCCAGGCAAGAGGAAAGTATATTTTAAGAAAGGGCTGACATCATCTTTGTTTTAGAGTCTAAACTGTAAACCAGGTGCCTCCCAAAGTTGGTTCAGCCTACACCCAGGGACAGACAAGGACAGCTTGCAGGCTTGAAAAAAAATAGAGTTCTTTGGGTCAGATCTCTTTCACCATCTCAGTCATAATTTTGCAATGACAGTTTCAAAAGCCATTTGTCACCCCTTAGAAACACCTTGTACACTCACTGTTACATCGTAACATAATTAAGGCTTGTTGGTTTCACCTGTGAGGTTACTTTTTGTAAAGTTCAAAAGCTGAAAATCTTAACTGCTTGACATAGCTAAAGTTGAGTAACAGTGGATTTAAAGGGATTTTGTTAAAGAGTGCTCAGCTTAATTAAAACTGGGTATTCAAGTAATAAATATATTTAAAAGGCCTTTATATTTTTCTCTTCTTGGATCTTGTTTTCTGGAAAAAGTTTATTTTTTTTTTTAAATTTTTCTCAGTTGACTAAATCATCTTTCTCCATTTTATTTCTTGACACTCTTAATGCATGCATGAGAGGCCCTAAGATAACTTCTGGTAGTCCTTGGGAAAAACAGAGGAGGTGCCACAGACCCCATTGTGGGGGGGAAAAAACTCTCTTTTCCTCATGAAACCCCAGGAACTAAGAGCAGATAGTGCCCTCTCAAAATTAAAGGCTCTTTTCAGTTTTGCTTTGTGTGTTCTGATTATTTTGAGTTTTGGGTGTATCAAAATACTTCACATTAGGAGAGAGCTTTGATGTGTAATAAGGAGGTAGGAAATACACTTTAAGGGATGGCAAATAGTAGTTATAAATCAGAGAAGCATGCTCTTGGCCGCCTGAAAGATATGGAAACATCCCCACCCCTGACTGAGAGATGATACTCCCATGGGGGATAAAGCTGATTAGCTTTGGGTTGCCTTGCAATGAAATACATGGTAGAAGCAATGCACTATTTTCTCCCATAGTATCTCCCTCCTTTAGGGGATCAAAAATCTAGTATAAAATGGCACATTTAATTTTAGGGATCTGCCTTTGCCTTCAGCTGTGCCTACTTATTAGGCCCTAAAAATGAATGCTGCCTGGCCCAGTTCCACCAAAGGCTCCACCCTGAAGCCAGTAATCCAATTAAGAAACTGACAAATGAAAACTCTTACAAGTGCTGAATCTTCTGTTTATGTCACTATATATGTGTTGTGTTTAATGTCTATAATAAAAGCTCTAATTAATTGGCTTAAAAAATAGTGCTTAAATCAAATATGTTTTAGTTCATGTGACTTTAATTTTTAAGAAATAAAAATAATCTTAAGGATTATTGGTAAAATGCAAGGGTCATCAAAATCCAAATAGGTGGTCTAAATCGTAAAACAGATACTAGGTTTGCTAAATGTTCAAAGGCTGCATACTGCATGATTTACAGATAAGTAAGGCCTGGGACACATGGAGTTAGATGCTGGAAAGAGTCAGATCTTATCTGCATTTCTGTCTGGGTCCTAGGCTCCACGCCTGGTACATAACTAGAATTGCTTACTAACCAGGTTTCTCACCAAATGTAAAAGTTGCTAAGAGTTAACAGTGCAGCATGTATTTAAGATCACTGAACAGTTTTAAAGGCAAGGTGTATAAAAACAGTAAAATGTGTTTTTTAGTAAAGGATTATAAGAAACTATAGAAATGTAAATATTGCCCAGGGATGAGGAATTATCTTAAATTTGATAAGATAAAGCTATAGGTTTAAGCATGTTGTGGAAAGATGGTCTTTTCATAAATTGAGCATTGAAATAAAAGCATCGCAAGGCTGTCTCAAGACACTAATCTTCCCTTTAGCAAAATGGGTTATAAAAGGTTTGTAAGGACTTCATCTCATGGTCAAATTGGTTAAGATTAGATGGAACTGTCTTTAGGGTGGCATTTAATCAAATTGGGGTTAACATTAATAAATTAGTGCAAAGGTAAAATTTGGCTTTGAGCAGGATTTTTATGTAATAGTAAAGGCTAATGAAAGGTTTTTGCCTTTTGAGTCATCATTTTGGCAAAATAAGTAATGTATGACTATCTGGAATTCTATTTCTTAATATCAACTGTTTTAAACCTCTAACATTTAACAGACATCCCAAAATCAAACTTCAAGTTTCAAAATTGTCTTTCCTGATGCCGGGCTTTCTAGATAGTTCAGGGTGCCCCTGAAACATTCAGAAAATAGGTGAACAGGATTATTTGACATGTTTAATCACATTGGGATTGCCAAAATGATGTCCAATCTTAACTTATATTTTTGTGAATAATACCAATATATGTTCCAAAATTGTATGGGATTTCTAAAATTCTAATGTCTAAGTATATGCTATCAATCATAATTAATTTTAAAATTATTGTAAACCATGGAGATAACTAAACTTTGCCAGTCATGTTTTTAACTGTAACTACCCTGAAAATTTTGTCACTTACAGACAATTTTTATCTTGTTGTGTTCCTTCTCAAAAGATGGGACATAATCAAGCTATAAGACTTTAACAGCTGTTCTCAAATGCAGATTTCCAATAGCTTTGAAGATTGTAACATTACAAAAAATGTACAGGACTCATGAAGAACTGACGTGTTTATGAATATCAAGTGAAACAAGAGTTGACTTAAATGGACTGTACTCAGAAAGCTAAAGCAATCTTTTTGACTTTTGCTTAGGATATTGCTGATCCTTATTTTGTTTTTCAGAGTCAAGGAAATTTATTTTGAATTATGTACAGCCTTTAATAATTGAGTAAGTTATACTCTTGTGAACAAAATTCAGAGCAGGTTTGTTTCCCTGTACCTGGTTCCTCTAGAATTTGGAAACTATCTGTGAGTAATCTTAACTTATGGCAATATAGTTGTTTGCATCAGTGCCACAAAAAGTCTTTTTTTTTTTCAATAAGACACAATTAGAAAAACTGGTTATTTCATCAAAGCTTTGACAAGAAGTGTATGCTTCCCCCTTTAAAGAGTGAATCTCAGCTTGCAGAGCTGATAAAAGCACCTTGGGGAAGACTGGCCTCATACCTTGTCTACACAGTCCCTGGACAGGTTTCTTAACCTGTGGTCAGTAAAGAATGTCACTTTCTAACATGTCCAGGACCTCCAAGTTTATCTTGGGACCTTAAGTGTAAAGTATTTGGGGATAAAAACCCATTGCTGAACTCGGCTTGAAGAGGTCTTATCTGAGATTCCTTAGGGAACAGAGTTCCATCAAAGCCAACCCAAAAGGCCTATGTAGGGAAAATTATTCTTGCTGCACTTTATGCAAATATTCGTGCCAAGTATAAGGCTAAAGTTTATTCTACAAACAACACAGTCCTATCATAATTTGTTTTTACCAAAAATGAGGACTGGAGAGAGAAATTGTGCTCCAAAGCTTATCATACATTTGTCATTAAATCCTAGTCACAATAATTGTTTTTAAGCTTTTTACCTACATTTTAGACTAACCCTGCTTATTTCTGTGAATCAAGTGGTGATCTCCTGCAGCTTGGAAGAAACAAAAAGAGATGGGTAATGTGAAAATCTGGATAAATATGCTAGTTCTGGGCAATTATTCAGCAAATTCTGCCAGGTAATGAAAGTGAGTAGGGTGCCCATAACCCAGAGGTTTATTTGTTTGGGAAAATAAAGCCAAGAAACTTCACAGATCCCCCAAAGGGAAATTCTATATCTTGGCAGGTACAATTTTAAGATGAAAATTATCTACTACACCACACTTGCAAAAATTGCTATACTCCCTCTACTACTCGCAGTAGGGCTATACACAGTTGCACCTTCTAACTGGAATATCAGACAGAGAGTTTCCATTGCTATGGTATTTTGCTTAATTATTATCCTTACAGGATGGATAACAGTTACCAAAAAAAAAAAAAAAGAAAAAGAAGTATGAAAGTTTTACTATCACTGAATCTTCTAGAACTTCTTATTGGGTTTGGTAATGTCACATCCTGGCTATATACAAAGGTTATAAAGGAAAAATATTTTACCTAAGAAAGGATCTTGTATGATAAATACTTCTCCTAAAGAGAACAGTTGGTTGTTTAAAAGAGGGATGTTTAGGAGAAGTCAGAAGGTTTGAGCATGTTATAGATGGTTGTGGAAGTCATGAAAAGATTACAAGGATGGTAAATACCTGTCCTAAAAAGAATAGTTGGTCGTTTAAAAAGAAGGATGTTAGGACAAGTTTAAGCACGTCTTAGATGGTCTGTTGAAGTAATGAGGGAATTAATAATTACAGGAAAGATTTAGCCAAGGTTAACACTAAAGTTACTCTAGCTACCCAAATCTAATACCACTTATTCAAAAAAGAATCTTACTTGTATATTAATATTTCAGCAGCATCTGGTGGAGGAAAACCAGTATCATGACCCATTGGAATGACTGACAGCAATCAAACTCCAAATGGAGTTTTAGACTGAACCACAGATGGATGTATCTTTCTTCCAGGAACCCTTAGATCGACCCAAGAGGAGCCCTAGCTGCTGTGCCCCACATGATGCCCCTTTTCAGCAGGAAGTAGCCAGAAAGAGTCATCATCAAACACCCCTTAACAGCAGTTAGGGTTACCACTCCAGAGAGGGGAATGATAGAGGAGTTAAGAAGAAATCACTTAGGCAGATAGCAAGGGGTATAACAGTCTTTGGTAATGCTTTTCTTTTTAATGAAACACAGCCCCAAATCATTTACTAACAAACAGTAGCCTGGAAAGTTGACCTGCAGACATAGACAAGCAAGCTGGGAGTTTGTGTGGGTGAATGCCAGCAGAAACTAAGCACTAGACATTTTCAAGATGGTGGCTCCATCTTCTCTTCTCTGTTAGCTATGTGCACTGTAAGGAGTAGACAAGATGGTGCTGATCAACTGGACAGCCCATTCGCATAATAACATTAGGGTTGGGAGACCAGACTTCCCTGTGCATTATGTAAACATCATACATGATCGAACCAATCTATAAGCCCTGTGTAAATCAGACACCGCCACCTCAAACTGGACTACAAAATTTGGCACATTTGCTGTCAGCCAGTCCTTTCTGCTCAGAAACCCCTTTCCCTATAAAGAAAGCTGTTTATCTTTCTCTTCTCTTCTGCCTATTAAACCTCAGCTCCTGTACTCCTTGTGTTTGTCCGTGTCCTAAGTTTTCCTGGCGGGTGACAACGAACACCAGGTTTATACCACAGACAATGTAGCTGCTTCATCTTGAGTTCCATCTATGGCACTAAGGTACTTTCTCTTTGGTCCCACCGCTGCAATTTTCTAACCTGTGTTCTAGTGCCTCCCAGGCACTAACCTTCAGAATTTCAGAACTTTTTTCTGGCTGTGTGCTTGAACTTGGAACTTAATGGCAGAATCGGTTTTATCTTTACTGCTTGTTTGTTCCTATTCCTGTTTGTGTTCCCCTCAAAAAATCATATGTTAAAATCCTAACCCCAAAGTGAGAGTATTAAGAAATGGGGATTTGGGGACAATATTAGGTAATGAAGACATAATCCTTGTGAATGAATTAGTACCCTCATAAAAAGAGAAATGAAAGAACACATTTTTTTTCTCTCTCTGCTCTCCCCCACATGAGACTACAATGTGAAGATTGTCATCAACAAACCAGGAAGTGAAGCCTTTCCAAACAACAGATTTGTTGCCACCTTGACCTTGGACTTCCCAGCCTCCAGCCTGTGAGAAAAAATAATTTCTGTTTTTGAAGCCACCTGGCGCTATTTTTGTTATAGTAGCCTGAACTAAGAGAGTAGACAACAGTGATAACTCTGGATTAAAATATACCTATTACTGGAATTAAGTTAGTGTAAATTTGAAGCAGACTGATAAATTGAGATATATATTGTAAGCCCTATTGAAACAATTAAGAAAATAACTAAAAAAGTAAATTAATTAAAAAAAGAATGAGTTGATTTTTCATTGTAGAATTCAATTGTTTTGGATGGGGGAAAGTGATTTGTAACACATAATTAAATAATTACAATCTTTTTGAAATAGTTTCCTCATCAGTAAAATGGAGGTAACCCTACATACTAGTTAGGCTATAAAGAATGATGAACATAAGTTTGGCAGTAGACAGGTTGGAATTTTTAACCTCAACTTGTAGCTTTGTGACTTCAAGTGCATCACTAAACCTTAAGCTGTCTCTTTAACTGTAAAGAGGGAACAATAACCATAATCATATCTTAAACCATTATAATTGAATAATATAGTAAAAATTTTGCACAATCAACAATGAGTATTAACTATCATAATTGGATTGTGAAAATATTTATAAACTCTGAAGAATTTATTACTATTGGTATTCATTATTTTTTCCCACAAGCTAATCTGATTATTTGTAAAGGCAAAAATGGAAAAAAACAAATCCACCATATAATTATCACTTGGCTTCTTAACATCTATGCTATTTTTAAACAATAATGTCAATATGTGAACTATTTTAAATTGGTTTTTCTATGAAAATATTTGCTGCTTATTGGCATACACTGTGCAATACTATGCCTCTTACATCTATTATAGAATTAAGGTCTGTGTGATCAAATGCAATTCAACAAATATTTATTGCATCTTCTAAGTGTTAGTCACTATGTTAGGTGCTTGTGATGTAGAAGTTTAAAAACATATGTTTACTAGTAAAAAAGATTAGTTTTTATAATATTTTAGAAGAAACAGCACTAGAATTGAGAAAAGTAACATTAGGATAAAATTAGAATTTTGAAGGAGGTTCTCCAGGCAAAGAAATGGACAAGGCATTTCAAATTGTATTATTAACTGCCTATTAGAGAGAAGGTAATATGTATTGAAAGTTTTGCAACAAATATATCACTTACACAATAACTACTCCATTTCATAGATGAATCTAATGAATTTGATGAGGTAACTACATCTAGTAGAGGGTAGGCCAAGGCTCAAATCTAAGCTTGCCTGTTTCCAACACTTCTGCATCTAATCACTGACATACATAAATAAGGCAATTATCAGAGAAGCATTTCAAACTTTCCTGAACATTCCGAAAGGGAAAGGCATCATATCATAAACAAGAAGAAAACAACAAAGATTTCCAAAGGAAGATATGTAGAAAGGGATAGGAAAAAGAGGAGGAAATAAAACAATAGCAAGTATCAACAACAAGAGTCAAGATGGGGCAGAGTGGGAAATGAGAGTATTTTAGGGTTCAACAGAGAAACAGAAGCAATAGGAGAATCTATTATCTATCTATCTGTCTATCTATTAATATAGAGAGGTTTATTTATTGTAAGGCATTTGCTTACACAATTATGGAAGCAAAAAAATCCCATACTATGGAAGCAAAATCTCAAGCAAGCTTGAGACTGAAGAAGACCAGTGGTGCAGTTCCGAGGACCAGAAGGCCAATGGTGTGAGTCCTAGTCTGAGAACAGGGAAAGAATGGTGTCCCAAATCAAACAGAGAGAGTGAATCCTCCCTTCCTATCTTTTGTTCTATTGGGCATCATAAAAGATTAGATGATGGCCACATACATTGTGAAGGTCAGTCTGCTTTTCTTAGACTACTGATTCAAATACTAATCTCCAGAAACATCCTCAGAGATATAACCAAAAACAATATTCAGCCAAATATCTGAGCACCCTGCAATCCAGTCAAGTTGACACATAAAATTAACCATCATAAAGTGCAAAATTTGTTAAATGTCTGAGCTTGCAGATCCTTTTAAGGGCAACATCCCAGACCCTGAACTCCAGGACAAAATACCCTAATCCAGTGAACTGCCCAACTAGTGTTCTGAAACACAGGATGAAACATCAGTTCAATCATGGATGGCTAAACCTAAAAAATTATTCCTTAATAATAACTGTATGTCTGGAAGAAATCAACCTTCTAAAAAAGAAAAAGTTGAGGAACTGCAAAAGGAAATTCAAACTCCTCTGAAACTCTTAACAGGCAAGAAAAAATATGCAGTTGGATAAACTGACATTTACCAAACTTAAAATTTTGATACAAATATTCATAGGGTTCATCCCTTTTCTTCTGTCTAGCACTACTAGCTAGAAGTCAGAATTTATAAAGGACAGCCCAATATTTCCCCTCCTGGTCCCACAGCAGACACAAAAAATTCATAATGAAACATTTTTTCTTTAATCTGCAAAAAGTCTATTATTCCTTCTTAATGCCATATTTTGGGCAACTACTCTTAATCAGGTAAGATGCATGAAATAAATTTGCTTGCAATACTGTTGCTGGGTGAACATCAGCAAGTTACTGATGGTAGTCGTTCTCTGCAGGATCATTTTTGCCTCCTGAGGGACATTTGGTAATTGGAGACATTTTATACTCTCTTAGCTGAAAGAGGTGCTGCTGACATCTAGTAGGTAGAGGTCAGAGATGATGTCAAACATTCTACAATGCATAGGAAAGACCACCTGAAAAAATATATATATTCAGTTCAAACTCTCAATACTGCTAAGGTTGAGGGCCTTTAGAATTAGCCTGAACTCACAAAGTTTTCCAATAAAAGGAGGCACTTTCCTTTCCCTTCCACCTTATAAGCTTTAATTCATCCTTAAAAGGTTTGGGTGAATATAATTTTCTTTTTTCTTTTTTTTTTTATTATACTTTAAGTTTTAGGGTACATGTGCACATTGTGCCGGTTCGTTACATACGTATACATGTGCCATGCTGGTGCGCTGCACCCACTAACTCGTCATCTAGCATTAGGTATATCTCCCAATGCTATCCCTCCCCCCTCGCCCCACCCCACCACAGTCTCCAGAGTGTGATATTCCCCTTCCTGTGTCCATGTGATCTCATTGATCAGTTCCCACCTATGAGTGAGAATATGCGGTGTTTGATTTTTTGTTCTTGCGATAGTTTACTGAGAATGATGATTTCCAATTTCATCCATGTCCCTACAAAGGACATGAACTCATCATTTTTTGGGGCTGCATAGTATGCCATGGTGTATATGGGCCACATTTTCTTAATCCAGTCTATCATTGTTGGACATTCGGGTTGGTTCCAAGTCTTTGCTATTGTGAACAATGCCGCAATAAACATACATGTGCATGTGTCTTTATAGCAGCATGATTTATAGTCCTTTGGGTATATACCCAGTAATGGGATGGCTGGGTCAAATGGTATTTCTAGTTCTAGATCCCTGAGGAATCGCCACACTGACTTCCACAATGGTTGAACTAGTTTACAGTCCCACCAACAGTGTAAAAGTGTTCCTATTTCTCCACATCCTCTCCAGCACCTGTTGTTTCCTGACTTTCTAATGATTGCCATTCTAACTGGTGTGAGATGGTATCTCATTGTGGTTTGGATTTGCATTTGTCTGATGGCCAGTGATGATGAGCATTTTTTCATGTGTTTTTTGGCTGCATAAATGTCTTCTTTTGAGAAGTGTCTGTTCATGTCCTTCGCCCACTTTTTGACAGGGTTGTTTGTTTTCTTCTTGTAAATTTGTTTGAGTTCATTGTAGATTCTGGATATTAGCCCTTTGTCAGATGAGTAGGTTGCGAAAATTTTCTCCCATGTTGTAGGTTGCCTGTTCACTCTGATAGTAGTTTCTTTTGCTGTGCAGAAGCTCTTTAGTTTAATTAGATCCCATTTGTCAATTTTGGCTTTGGTTGCCATTGCTTTTGGTGTTTTAGACATGAAGTCCTTGCCCATGCCTATGTCCTGAATGGTAATGCCTAGGTTTTCTTCTAGGGTTATTATGGTTTTAGGTTGAACGTTTAAGTCTTTAATCCATCTTGAATTGATTTTTGTATAAGGTGTAAGGAAGGGATCCAGTTTCAGCTTTCTACATATGGCTAGCCACTTTTCCCAGCACCATTTATTAAATAGGGAATCCTTTCCCCATTGCTCGTTTTTCTCAGTTTTGTCAAAGATCAGATAGTTGTAGATATGTGGCATTATTTCTGAGGGCTCTATTCTGTTCCATTGATCTATATCTCTGTTTTGGTATCAATACCATGCTGTTTTGGTTACTGTAGCCTTGTAGTATACTTTGAAGTCAGGTAGTGTGATGCCTCCAGCTTTGTTCTTTTGGCTTAGGATTGACTTGGTGATGTGGGCTCTTTTTGGGTTCCATATGAACTTTAAAGTAGTTTTTTCCAATTCTGTGAAGAAAGGCAGTGGTAGCTTGATGGGGATGGCATTGAATCTGTAAATTACCTTGGGCAGTATGGCCATTTTCACGATATTGATTCTTCCTACCCATGAGCGTGGAATGCTCTTCCATTTGTTTGTATCCTCTTTTATTTCCTTGAGCAGTGGTTTGTAGTTCTCCTTGAAGAGGTCCTTCACATCCCTTGTAAGTTGGATTCCTAGGTATTTTATTCTCTTTGAAGCAATTGTGAATGGGAGCTCACTCATGATTTGGCTCTCTGTTTGTCTGTTGTTGGTGTATAAGAATGCTTGTGATTTTGGTACATTGATTTTGTATCCTGAGACTTTGATAAAGTTGCCTATCAGCTTAAGGAGATTTTGGGCTGAGACAATGGGGTTTTCTAGATACACAATCATGTCGTCTGCAAACAGGGACAATTTGATTTCCTCTTTTCCTAATTGAATACCTTTTATTTCCTTCTCCTGCCTAATTGCCCTGGCCAGAACTTCCAACACTATGTTGAATAGGAGTGGTGAGAGAGGGCATCCCTGTCTTGTGCCAGTTTTCAAAGGGAATGCTTCCAGTTTTTGCCCATTCACTATGATATTGGCTGTGGGTTTGTCATAGATAGCTCTTATTATTTTGAAATACGTCCCATCAATACCTAATCTATTGAGAGTTTTTAGCATGAAGGGTTGTTGAATTTTGTCAAAGGCTTTTTCTGCATCTATTGAGATTATCATGTGGTTTTTGTCTTTGGCTCTGTTTATATGCTGGATTACATTTATTGATTCACATACATTGAACCAGCCTTGCATCCCAGGGATGAAGCCCACTTGATCATGGTGGATAAGCTTTTTGATGTGCTGCTGGATTTGTTTTGCCAGTATTTTATTGAGGATTTTTGCATCAATGTTCATCAAGGATATTGGTCTAAAATTCTCTTTTCTGGTTGTGTCTCTGCCCGGCTTTGGTATCAGAATGATGCTGGCCTCATAAAATGAGTTAGGGAGGATTCCTTCTTTTTCTATTGATTGGAATAGTTTCAGAAGGAATGGTACCAGTTCCTCCTTGTACCTCTGGTAGAATTCGGCTGTGAATCCATCTGGTCCTGGACTCTTTTTGGTTGGTAAACTATTGATTATTGCCACAATTTCAGATCCTGAAATTCAGGTCTATTCAGAGATTCAACTTCTTCCTGGTTTAGTCTTGGGAGGGTTTATGTGTCGAGGAATTTATCCATTTCTTCTAGATTTTCTAGTTTATTTGCGTAGAGGTGTTTGTAGTACTGTCTGATGGTAGTTTGTATTTCTGTGGGATCGGTGGTGATATCCCCTTTATCGTTTTTTATTGCGTCTATTTGATTCTTCTCTCTTTTTTTCTTTATTAGTCTTGCTAGCGGTCTATCAATTTTGTTGATCCTTTCAAAAAACCAGCTCCTGGATTCATTACTTTTTTGAAGGGTTTTTTGTGTCTCTATTTCCTTCAGTTCTGCTCTGATTTTAGTTATTTCTTGCCTTCTGCTAGCTTTTGAATGTGTTTGCTCTTGCTTTTCTAGTTCTTTTAATTGTGATGTTAGGGAGTCAATTTTGGATCTTTCCTCGCCCTGCTTCGGCTTGTGCACGGTGTGCACACCCAATGACCTGCGCCCACTGTCTGGCACTCCCTAGTGAGATGAACCGGGTACCTCAGATGGAAATGCAGAAATCACCCATCTTCTGCGTCTCTCACGCTGGGAGCTGTAGACCGGAGCTGTTCCTATTCGGCCATCTTGGCTCCTCCCTCTGAAAAATTGTTTTTAAAGCTCCCATTTATGTGCATCACCACTGCCAAATTTTCTGCTATGAGATTCTATAAATATATATATGAGAATAAAAACAATTTTATTTAAATCTTTAATAATTCTGAGGAACATTTCTGAATTACTAGTTTTCAAATTAAAACACTGAGGCACAGAGAAGTTAAATGACTTGACCAGCTAGTAAACAACAAACCTGGGATCTAATCCTGCTTGATTCCAAAGCTCTGGTGTTCACAATTAAGTTATTCTGCTCTTCCACCTTGTAAATCGTAAAACCCTAAACAAATGTTCAATGTAATTATAATAATTTCTAATATTCGCATGAGTAAATACTGCTGCAGAGAAATTGTGACATTTGAAAGTCATACAAATATTTAGTGAGAAGATAGAGCACTAGAAGCCTTCCAAACTCTACTCCGTTTTGATAAAATAGCATTTTGTTCTATTTTCACAATTCTCTCTATCTTAGTCTTATTCTCTCAGTCTTGCTCTCAGTTTCTATGTCCTTGTGTGGCACTACTAGCAGTCTTGGACAGAGTGGGGTCATGGAAGGCCAGAGGAGGAGACTCCTGTGGTCCCTTTGTGGGACACTAGAGTGTGGCCAGCTGTGGCCTCCCAGCTGTTGTCAGGCTTTCAGGAAAACTCAGTGATGATCACTACTAGCTAACATCCACAGGGCTGACATAACACTCCAGACAAGCCTCTTAAGTACTTTACAAGTAGTAATTTATTTTTCATAACCATCCTCATTATATAGAGGAGGACATGTGGCCCTGAAAAGTCAAATAATCTACCCAAGGTGTCACTTCAGGCAAATAGAACACCGGGAAATCGAACTCGGGTATCTGCTTACAGGCCAGGATTCTTTCCCTGTTAGCCAAACTGCCTCAAATCCTCAAAGGAACTCTTTTTAACTGCTTCAAATAGCTAGGCAAAATATAATCTGTTACTAGCAGTACTAGATGTTTAAACTAGTAATTATTTAGTATTTTAAAAATTAATAATGGTAATTGATTAACTCCTTAATTTGCCTTTTCTGGCATGGATTCCTTAGCACTTTCAAATGTGGCATTATGTTTTAATTTATATAATGGCTCAATGGAGTTTCCATTATTTACTCAATTTTTAGCAGGTGAATATGATGTTAGTAAGATTAAGTGACTTGCACAAGGTTACATAGCTCATATTTACTAAAACCCAAAATTTATGCCTTATTTTCCAACTCTCTGTTGAGTATTACATTCATTACACCATAATTGTGGTTATTTCTGACACAGAGAATTTCCTATATTTTGACATATATGTATTTTCCAAAACCTTACCAACATCTATTTATCATAGAAATGTAAGTTTGCTCCTGTCTAGACAGTAAAATAGAAATGAAACAAATGAAAACAGACAAAAATAATCCAGGGCTTTTGAACTTTTTTTTTCTCCCAGATGAAGTAATTACTTCTACAATGGTACAAATATTTAAGTAAGCCATCTGGTGAGATAATCTCATGAAAATAACTCTCAGATTTATGTATGAATGTTCTCAAAATTTGGGGAGGACTAATAAAGTAATAATGTATGTCTCACATCCTAGAAAAATCACTTGAGGGACACTCTTGTTTTAGTTGCCCTCTGTTGTGAGTCTTTCATCAAAATAGACCAATATAAGTGCTGAAAACTCCCCAATGACAGAAACAAGAGTAGATGAAATTAAGAAGCCAGTAACCACAAATGCTTTTGATTTACTTGTCAATAAATATCAATGGTTTTATCTGGCTAACAGAGACACTGTAAAATTAATTTGTGTTTACAAAACAGAAGGTAACCAATATAACTCAGCTTTCTCTTCTGTTACACACTAAGTAAATTTAAGAGTACTTAAATAAATTTGAATATAATTTTAAAGTCCTTAACAGTTTTCAGATATTGCCCTTTATTTGTTCTGACTTCCCCTCCTGTTTTATTCTCTAAGAAATTAAAGTATAATAAGATTTGAATGTAGAGAATGCATATGTTTCTCTTCCTTGTCCCCCACCACTGCCTCCTGCCTTGCCACACTCCAGGGTTGATGTTCTCTAGAGTCAGAGACTTTTTTTTTGTTCATTTGCTCGTCTCAGTGTCTGGCATTTAGTAGGTGACTCAGAAATGTCTTTCAAAATGAGCTTTGCAGAGAGACTGAAAGAGACTCAAAGTCAGGTATCACTAAGACCATCCTCCAGGTGAACCAATCTAATAAGAGGTCCTACCCTGTTTAATAAAGTAACCTTGTCCAGGCATGGTGGCTCATGCATGTAATCCCAACACTTTGGGAGGCCGAGGTGGACAGATTACTTGAGGTCAGGAATTCCAGACCAGCCTGACAAACCTGGCGAAACCCCGTCTCTACTAAAAATACAAAACTTAGCCAGGTGTAGTGGTGGGCACCAATAATTCCAGCTACTCGGGAGGCTGACACGAGAATCACTTGAACCTGGGAGGCAGAGGCTGCAGTGAGCTGAGATTGTACCACTGCACTCCAGTCTGGGTGACAGAGCAAGACTCCATCTCAAAATAAGTAAATGAATAAATGAATGAATGAATGAATGAATAATAAAATAAAGTAACCTCTTGTCCACACAGGCCTATCTTTTGCTCTTTGGCAGGCTCCTGCTTTCCGACCCCTCATCAATATGGCCCTATCGTTGGGAACATGTACTCAGAGATGGTTAATTTCCACATTCTTCCCTACCTCACAATCTTCTCTCCAGTGAGAGTGACTTATCTCTAAGGGTAATATTCTTTACTTACAAAGTTTCTGAAAGATAAACACATATATTATATAGACACATCTGAACTGAATCTTCTGATTGGATGAAGATGTATGACACATTCATGCCTCAAATTAAATTCACAATTCAGCAGCATAATAATATATCAATAAGAAATAAAACAACTATTGACTAGATAATAAGAGCTTCTGTTTATGAGATCTTTTATATTAACATAATAATCTTAGATGTTTAACAAATAATGCAGCCTGATAGTTCTCCTTTCCAATACACATTTTTCCAATAAATACCTCTGTGGTGAATTGAATGGTATTCCCTACAATGATAAGTCCACATTCTAACTGTGTAAACCTGTGAATATGACCTTATTTGAAAGCACTATATACACAGTATATACATATATTCTAGAGATAAAATGCATTGTGTGTAAAACATGCATGTATATGATGGAATATGTATATAATGGTTATGTAAGATACACATTCTATCTGTAGGCTTACATGAGTAATTTGAATCCCACACTTATGGTCAGAGACTCCTAGGATTCCACCGAAAAAGAAAAGGGATTATACAAGCTAAAGCTATTTCCAGTGTTTAAAAGAAACCAAGGGATAGAATATATTAATTGCAATAAGGCAGTACAGGTTGATGGAAATCATAGGTTCATTTGCTCTTGGCTAGAATGGTGACTCCAGGAGAGGATGACATTGGTTTGTTGTTGCCCATTGGAAGTTGAGATTGAGGTTACTTATGGCTTTGAAAAAATATGATGGCATGAATTAATTATAAATAAATTATCTTTGGTTGAGAAAATGTTTTTAAAGTATGGGCTCCTGAAGGAAAATAAAAAGTCAAAAGAGCTGTAGGCAATGAAAGCTTGACAAGTGGACCCATATATGTACATGTACAAATTGACAATTGTGCATAAATCACAATGCCTTTGTCTTAATTTTCTCTTTTGTGAGGTCAGTCTAGTTTTACTTCTTAACACCTCATTTGTCAACTCTCTGCCCTTCCCCGAATGTTATCTTTTTAATGCATCTTCTTCATCAGTTCGCTAATATACCCTTAATTATCTGAGTCTATCTCGAGACCGTTTAATCATTTATTTCATTCTCAATGAGAGCATCTTCAATTCATTTCATAATGCTATTCCAAACCCTGAAATTCCTTCCATCTCACTCAGCATGAAATCTATAGTTTTTACTTGGCCAACAATCCCTAAAAATCTGTCACACCTTTTTTAATAAATATATGGAATGCAAGTATAATTTTGTTATATCCCTAAATTGCACAGTGGTAAAGTCAGATCTTTTAGGGTGTTCATCACCCAAATAATGTATGTTGTACCTATTAAGTAATTGCTGATAATCTGTGCTCCTCTCCACTACTCAATCTTCCTAATCTCTATTATCCATCGTTACACATTCTACATTCATGCAAACATGTTATTTTAGTTCCCACTTATAAGTGAGAATGTTGAATTTGTATTTCTGTGTCTGATTTGTTTTACTTAAGATAATGGCCTCTTGTTCCATCCTCATGGCTGCAAAAGACATGATTTCTTCTTTTAAATGGCTGAATAGTATTCCATTAAGTATATATGCCACATTTTCCTTATCCAATCATCTCTTGATAGACACTTAGGTTGATTCCATATTGTTTCTATTGTGAATAATGCTGTGATAAACATATGCGAGCAGGCATCTTTGTGATATAATGAATTCTTTTCCCTTGGGCAGATAGCCAGTAGTGGGATTGCTGAATCAAATGGTAATTCTATTTTTAGTTCTTTGAGAAATCTCCATACTGTTTTCCACAGAAGTTGTACTAGTTTAAAAATGTGTCACACTTTGATGCTCACCCTCTTCTCCTATCATTCTCCCTCTTAAACATCCTCTCATATCTCCTCTTCTACCAAATCAGTCCTTTCTCTTGCTTTTCTTTGATGATGACAGAAACCCTCTAGCCTCAGGGCCTTTGCTTTTGCTCCGCCCCTGCCCCAACCCACAGAGTTACAGATCTATCCCTCTTTTCACTCAGGTGCATGAATAAATATTATCATAAACAGGAGTCTATCTCTGGTTACCTTATCTAAAATAACACTTCCCCTGCTGTTGCTTGTCCTCTTACTCTGGTTTCTTTTCTTTCCTTTTCTTTGCTTTTTTTTTTTTTTTTTTTTTTTTTTTTTTTTTTTTTTTTGAGATGGAGTCTTGGTCTGTCGCCCAGGCTGTAGTGCAGTGGCACGATCTCGGCTCACTGCAACCTCCGCCTCCTGGATTCAAGAGATTCTTCTGCCTCAGACTCCCTAGTAGCTGGGACCACAGGCGCATACCACCATGCCCGGCTAATTTTTGTATTTTTAGTAGAGACGGGGTTTCACCACATTGGCCAGGCTGGCCTGGAAATCCAGACCTCATGATACGCCTGCTTCGGCCTCCCAAAGTGCTGGGATTACAGGCGTAAACCACTGTGCCCGGCCACTCTGCTTTATTTTCACACATATTTATTTTTCTGTTTGGTGTCTTTCTCCCTTTGAGAGAATGTAAGCTCTAGAAAAACCAGGGAGCAACTTGGATGTGCTGTCTGCTACCCTTCCAGGTCTTAGAAATGGGTCTAGCACCAATAAATATTTTCTGAATGAATAATTACATTCATTTTCTTACTCTTCATTTAACATTTGAGTACCTAATAAAAATAATAATGGTTTTTGAATACTCAGTATGTGCTAGATACCATGCCAAGTGCTTTACATGAACCATTTAATCCTCACAAAAGCCTTTTGAAGTGAGTTGTTGAATCTTCTCTTCCCAGACAGAATGTGAGTCTGGGGGAAATTTTTAAATGTTCCCAAGTAAACATGACTATTAAGTAGCAAAGGTAAGAATTAAACCTAGACATCCTAACTACAGATCTCAAGTTCTTCCACTCTAAGTTATACTGGCATTGCATCAGGTTCAAAAGATAAACTCATTTAAAAAAACAAACCACCAACAACAACAACAAAAGAAACTTTTCTCTGCCCTTAGGCAGTCTGCAGCCTAAGCCAGAAAGAGAAAAGCAGCATATAAAGTTAACACAGGGGCATTTTGGGACCTTCTCAGGGGATCATCTGAATCATAAAGAATAAGAAGAATTTAGCCATGCTAAGAAATATAGAAAAGGTTGGGAACTACACCCTGCAATGGGAACTACTTATATAATTCCAGAGTTATGGAAAAACCTGGCTCAATTATGGAATTTATTTTGGCTGTTTGCCTAAGAGATGGGAAAACAAAATTGAAGCATTTGGCTTTTTAGCCCTAAGTTTGAGATGCATTCAGAATAGGCGGCTTCAAAAATGTTAAGAAATTAAAAATAAACAACTCAGAAGAAATGAAAAAGAAAATATCAGAGGCTATGGGAAGTCTTCTGTTGAGTGCAATCAAGCAAATGATCACTTTTCAAAGGACAAGGAGTGGATAGGCCTCCCTCCTAAACTGAGGAATATTGCTGAAAAGTTAATGTGAAGACTTGATGGCAAAATTCCCTGGCATTTTCAGAGCTCACTCACCATAATGCACAAACATGAAGGGACATAGCCTAGGTCTTTGATTTCCCTAGCTCTGCTGTGTTGTCATCACAGCAATTAGGGAAACATTCCAAGATACTTCTGGGGTCAAAGAACATGAAGGCTGGAAACGACTTCAGGAAATGTCTAAGAGATTAGAGTCAGAAAGAACTAGGTTGGAATACTACCTCAGGTCTTTCCTAACATTGAAATTGTATATAGCTTACAATTATCTCAGATTTATCTAAAATAAAAAGAGAAAGAAGGATATCAACTTTATAGGATTGTTGTGAGAACTAAGTGAATTAATGTAGGTCAAGGGATATAACAACATCAAAGTCAATCAATAGATATTAGCTATTATTTTATTATTATTATCCACCCCAAACCATTATTTTTCCATTGATAAGGAAACTGACATACCAGAAAATGACTTGACTAAGCTCACACACGGATCTCACAAGTTACCCAATCCATCAGCATTCCTCTAGGGCTCTCCCTACCTGTCCACGTCAGGTAATATGTTTAAGTTCCATTAAAGATCTGATAACTGGCCTAAAAGTTCTATCTTATTTTAAGCCTCTGTTTACCATCCCCACAAAATCATGGACCTGCTTTACCTTCAACAAAATTTATAGAGATCACTTCAAATATGGGATCGAAGTTGTAGTTGGCAATACTAGGAATAACTCTAAAGTAACAAAGCCTGTGTTTCATAAGGTGGTTTTGACAACATCATTTTCCCAGAAAACCATCCCAAACAAGACTGGGCTAAATGGCTCTTCTCTGTACTGCGGGACAGATGCTTACCTCTATCTTAGTATTTATTCTTCTATCTACTGGAATTATCCATTTGGTGGCCCTTTTTATAATTTAAAAATAGAAACTAAGTCCTAGCCATCTGTGTATCTCCTGTTCATAGCACAATGTCTAATATACAGTAGATGATCTCTAAAATTTTATATAATTGAATATTTATTTTATTACAATTAATATGAGCTCCATACAGAAGGCCATTATACCATGTTTTAATAGTATCAGTATAATTATGACTGTGTAGATTTAGATATTCAAAATGATCATTTTAACCAACATGCTTTTAGGTATATAATATTTTCAGTTTTAGTTAAAAATTCACATAGATTCTTTGCTTTTGTATCTGTTAAAATAGTCATCCACTTTACATATCTATATGTAAGCAGTGGTGTGTTTCAATTTGTCACACTGACTTTCAAGAGTTGTGTCCATCTCTTCCCAAATCTATGTTCAGTGATTTCACATTTGTGGTTTGAAACTGGTCATGATAGGAGTGCTTGTGCCATGCAAATCAACTAATGTTAGAAAGCAGAGATTTTTTTCTTCCTCAGAAACCAGGTTGTTATACATTTACCAGTGCATCACTATACATATAGTTTTTAATACTATCCACTCTAGTCTGTGTAGTTCTGCATTTATGGTTTTTATCAATCTAAGGTAGAAGCTACATCTAATTTTCTGTCTCTGCTTCATTTTTTATGCCACCTGGGTACCCATAAATAATTACAAGCAGAGTTGTTTATATATTTAGCAGACACTCATGAAATAAATAATTAATATGAGACAGTCTCCATATCTAACTAGTTATTCCTAATATATCTTTTAAAGTCTTCTTACATTTTATTAAATGAAGTTGGGAGGATCAACTTTGTGAGTGAATCAAACTCAAATTTCGGGGGACTGGACAAAAATATATTGTGGAACTAGAAAACAATGTCTTACCAAAATTGCATATAAATTTAATCAGCTGACAAAACTTTTGCCCTGCCTTATTTATGCAAAGAAATGTGGAAATAAGGCAGTCATTCAGACTTTTCTTAAAAGATGTAAGGCTGAGATTGTTTTATACACATAAATGAGGTGTGGGCTTATTCCCACTTCAGATTTTTTTTGCAGGATAATACAAGATTATTTCAGACCATTCTAGTATTATAAATAATTGGTTCCAGCCCCTAAATGGAGCTTAAATTTCAATCTGTAGGTTATTATTATAGTAATCTTTCATGGTAAATCAGTCCATTTCCTCTGTAGTTACTTAAGGGTGGAAATATTCAAGAACATGGATATATTTTAAAATTACTGTTCTCAGTTCTTTCCCTTATAAATAATTAGTAAGTCTACTAATTATTTTCTTCCAAAATTTTCCACTTCCTAATTATCCACTATTTTTTTCTTCCAAATATAGTAAATGGGCAAGAAATAAGTTTTATTTTTAAATGGTTATATTACTCTCCTATCTCAGGGTATATGAGATAAAATTTAACAGAGATTGATGGACATCTAAATTTTAGCCAGCTTATTTACTGATGAGACTTCTCCCTATACCCTCTGCTTGACGGAATGTTCATGTTGCTCAAGATGAAATAACCTAAGACAGCAATAAATTATTTTGGCAGATATTCTGAAAGAAAGCTCCTGGGAAACTGCTGTAGATGTCATTCGGATTTTAAAAATCTAAGTTTGTAGGCTAGTCAAAAAAATCTAAAGATCACAGTCGGAAACCTAGGAAACTGACAAGTAACAATAATGAGAATGTACACAAACACATACAAAAAGCAAAATACGTATATGCCTTTGATACGTTTGAATACCACCTAAACTCTGACCCACTAAGAGAAATTCCGGTATAAAGGGCATTTTTGGTAAGCTTTAGTCATGTTCATCCATCCATTTTTCCATTTAGTCCTTTACTTGATAAGTAAATTATTAATTAGTAAACAAAGTTAGGTATTAATCTAAAAATTACTGCAACAGTTTCTAATATCAAAATAGTAGCAAGCCAGATAGACAAATGGATATATAGTTCAAATATAATGTAACGAGTGGAAAGAAAAATACATCATGTTTTGTGTGAACACCAAAGAGACATAAATACCTGGGAGAAAAGGGAAAGTTTTATACACACATACACACAAACCTGTGTGTTTATGTGTGTGTGTGTGTGTGTGTGTGTATATATGACTTATATGACTGGATAACAGGGTGCCCATATATATATTTGAGCACCTGTGATACAGCAGCTGCTATACTAGTTGGTTTTCCATAGTTTATTTCTTAGTCCATTTATTTTAATCTTTCAATTAATGCTACAGACAGTCAGTATTATTTGCATTTTACATATAACGAAACTGAAGTTTTGGGAAATTAAGCAAACTGGTGTTTTGGTTGAATTATGTTCCTGCCTCCAAAAAAGAGATGTGAAAGTCCAAATGCCCATTACTACAGAATGTGACCTTATTTTTAATAGGGCCTCTACAGAGTCAATTGAGTTAAACATATTTTGAGTTAAAGATTATTATTAATTATTATTATTAATCGAGTTAAACATTACTAGTGTGAGCCCTTATTCAGTATAACTGGTTTCCTTACAAAAGAGGGAAATTTGGATACAGAGACAGACATGCACAGAGAGAAGGCCATGTGAAGATGGAGGATTGGAGTGATGTATCCATAGGCCGAGGAACACCAAAGATTGCTGTCAAACCCTCAGAAGCTGGAAAGAGGCAAGGAAGAATTTCCCTACAAGTTTTAGAGGGAGCATGGTCCTGCAGTTTGTTCTTCTAGCCTCCAGAACTGTGAGACAGTATTTCTGTTGTTTTAAGGGACCTGTTTTATTGTATTTTGTTATAGCGCCCAAGAAAACAAAGTTGGTCAAACATGGGGCTAGTAAGTAGTGATGCACAATCATCCTTTTCTGGTTCCAAAGCTTACATGTTTTCTCCTTTACAAAGAAAATTATCTGGGGAGGAGGGAAGATGGCTGAATAGGAACAGCTCCAGTCTACAGCTCCCAGCGTGAGAGATGCAGAAGATGGGTGATTTCTGCATTTCCATCTGAGGTACTGGGTTCATCTCACTAGGGAGTGCCAGACAGTGGGCGCAGGTCAGTGGGTGCGCGCACCATGCGCGAGCTGAAGCAGGGCGAGGCATTGCCTCACTTGGGAAGCGCAAGGGGTCAGGGAGTTCCCTTTCCAAGTCAAAGAAAGGGGTGACGGACGCACCCGGAAAATCGGGTCACTCCCACCCGAATACTGCGCTTTTCGGACCGGCTTAAAAAATGGCGCACCACGAGATTATATCCTGCACCTGGCTCAGAGGGTCCTACGCCCACAGAGTCTCGCTGATTGCTAGCACAGCAGTCTGAGATCAAACTGCAAGGCGGCAGCGAGGCTGGGGGAGGGGCGCCCACCATTGCCCAGGATTGCTTAGGTAAACAAAGCAGCCGGGAAGCTCGAACTGGGTGGAACCCACCACAGCTCAAGGAGGCCTGCCTGCCTCTGTAGGCTCCACCTCTGGGGGCAGGGCACAGACAAACAAAAAGACAGCAGTAGTAATCTCTGCAGACTTAAATGTCCCTGTCTGACAGCTTTGAAGACAGCAGTGGTTCTCCCAGCACGCAGCTGGAGATCTGAGAACGGGCAGACTGCCTCCTCAAGTGGGTCCCTGACCCCTGACCCCCAAGCAGCCTAACTGGGAGGCACTCCCCAGCAGGGGCACACTGACACCTCACATGGCAGGGTATTCCAACAGATCTGCAGCTGAGGGTCCTGTCTGTTAGAAGGAAAACTAACAAACAGAAAGGACATCTACACCAAAAACCCATCTGTACATAATCATCATCAAAGACCAAAAGTAGATAAAACCACAAAGATGGGGAGAAAACAGAACAGAAAAACTGGAAACTCTAAAACGCAGAGCATCTCTCCTCCTCCAAAGGAACGCAGTTCCTCACCAGCAATGGAACAAAGCTGGACAGAGAATGACTTTGAGGAGCTGAGAGAAGAAGGCTTCAGATGATCAAATTACTCTGAGCTATGGGAGGACATTCAAACCAAAGGCAAAGAAGTTGAAAACTTTGAAAAAAATTTAGAAGAATGTATAACTAGAATAACCAATACAGAGAAGTGCTTAAAGGAGCTGATGCAGCTGAAAACCAAGGCTCGAGAACTACGTGAAGAATGCAAAAGCCTCAGGAACTGATGCGATCAACTGGAAGAAAGGGTGTCAGCAATGGAAGATGAAATGAATGAAATGAAGCAAGAAGGGAAGTTTAGAGAAAAAAGAATAAAAAGAAATGATCAAAGCCTCCAAGAAATATAAGACTATGTGAAAAGACCAAATCTATGTCTGATTGGTGTACCTGAAAGTGACGGGGAGAATGGAACCAAGTTGGAAAACACTCTGCAGGATATTATCCAGGAGAACTTCCCCAATCTAGAAAGGCAGGCCGACGTTCAGATTCAGGAAATACAGAGAATGCCACAAAGATACTCCTCGAGAAGAGCAACTCCAAGACACATAATTGTCAGATTCACCAAAGTTGAAATGAAGGAAAAAATGTTAAGGGCAGCCAGAGAGAAAGGTCGGGTTACCCTCAAAGGGAAGCCCATCAGACTAACAGCGGATCTCTCAGCAGAAACCCTACAAGCCAGAAGAGAGTGGGGGCCAATATTTAACATTCTTAAAGAAAAGAATTTTCAACCCAGAATTTCATATCCAGCCAAACTAAGCTTCATAAGGGAAGGAGAAATAAAATACTTTACAGACAAGCAAATGCTGAGAGATTTTGTCACCACCAGGCCTGCCCTAAAAGAGCTCCTGAAGGAAGCGCTAAACATGGAAAGGAACAACCGGTACCAGCCGCTGCAACATCATGCCAAAATGTAAAGACCATTGAGACTAGGAAGAAACTGCATCAACTAACGAGCAAAATCACCAGCTAACATCATAATGACAGGATCAAATTCACACATAACAATATTAACTTTAAATGTAAATGGACTAAATGCTCCAATTAAAAGACACACACTGGCAAATTGGATAAAGAGTCAAGACCCATCAGTGTGCTGTATTCAGGAAACCCATCTCATGTGCAGAGACACACATAGGCTCAAAATAAAAGGATGGAGGAAGATCTACCAAGCAAATGGAAAACAAAAAAAGGCAGGGGTTGCAATCCTAGTCTCTGATAAAACAGACTTTAAACCAACAAAGATCAAAAGAGACAAAGAAGGCCATTACATAATGGTAAAGGGATCAATTCAACAAGAAGAGCTAACTATCCTAAATGTATATGCACCCAATACGGGAGCACCCAGATTCATAAAGCAAGTCCTGAGTGACGTACAAGAGACTTAGACTCCCACACATTAATAGTGGGAGACTTTAACACCCCACTGTCAACATTAGACAGATCAACGAGACAGAAAGTCAACAAGGATACCCAGGAATTGAACTCAGCTCTGCATCAAGCGGACCTAATAGACATCTACAGAACTCTCCACCCCAAATCAACAGAATATACATTTTTTTCAGCACCACACCACACCTATTCCAAAATTGACCACATACTGGGAAGTAAAGCTCTCCTCAGCAAATGTAAAAGAACAGAAATTATAACAAACTATCTCTCAGACCACAGTGCAATCAAACTAGAACTCAGGATTAAGAATCTCACTCAAAACCGCTCAACTACATGGAAACTGAACAACCTGCTCCTGAATGACTACTGGCTACATAACGAAATGAAGGCAGAAATAAAGATGTTCTTTGAAACCAACGAGAACAAAGACACAACATACCAGAATCTCTGGGACGCATTCAAAGCAGTGTGTAGAGGGAAATTTATAGCACTAAATGCCCACAAGAGACAGCAGGAAAGATCTAAAATTGACTCCCTAACATCACAATTAAAAGAACTAGAAAAGCAAGAGCAAACACATTCAAAAGCTAGCAGAAGGCAAGAAATAACTAAAATCAGAGCAGAACTGAAGGAAATAGAGACACAAAAAACCCTTCAAAAAAGTAATGAATCCAGGAGCTGGTTTTTTGAAAGGATCAACAAAATTGATAGACCGCTAGCAAGACTAATAAAGAAAAAAAGAGAGAAGAATCAAATAGACGCAATAAAAAACGATAAAGGGGATATCACCACCGATCCCACAGAAATACAAACTACCATCAGACAGTACTACAAACACCTCTACGCAAATAAACTAGAAAATCTAGAAGAAATGGATAAATTACTCGACACATAAACCCTCCCAAGACTAAACCAGGAAGAAGTTGAATCTCTGAATAGACCTGAATTTCAGGATCTGAAATTGTGGCAATAATCAATAGTTTACCAACCAAAAAGAGTCCAGGACCAGATGGATTCACAGCCGAATTCTACCAGAGGTACAAGGAGGAACTGGTACCATTCCTTCTGAAACTATTCCAATCAATAGAAAAAGAAGGAATCCTCCCTAACTCATTTTATGAGGTCAGCATCATTCTGATACCAAAGCCGGGCAGAGACACAACCAGAAAAGAGAATTTTAGACCAATATCCTTGATGAACATTGATGCAAAAATCCTCAATAAAATACTGGCAAAACAAATCCAGCAGCACATCAAAAAGCTTATCCACCATGATCAAGTGGGCTTCATCCCTGGGATGCAAGGCTGGTTCAATGTATGTGAATCAATAAATGTAATCCAGCATATAAACAGAGCCAAAGACAAAAACCACATGATAATCTCAATAGATGCAGAAAAAGCCTTTGACAAAATTCAACAACCCTTCATGCTAAAAACTCTCAATAGATTAGGTATTGATGGGACGTATTTCAAAATAATCAGAGCTATCTATGACAAACCCACAGCCAATATCATACTGAATGGGCAAAAACTGGAAGCATTCCCTTTGAAAACTGGCACAAGACAGGGATGTCCTCTCTCACCACTCCTATTCAACATAGTGTTGGAAGTTCTGGCCAGGGCAATTAGGCAGGAGAAGGAAATAAAGGGTATTCAATTAGGAAAAGAGGAAATCAAATTGTCCCTGTTCGCAGACGACATGATTGTGTATCTAGAAAACCCCATTGTCTCAGCCCAAAATCTCCTTAAGCTGATAGGCAACTTTATCAAAGTCTCAGGATAAAAATCAATGTACCAAAATCACAAGCATTCTTACACACCAACAACAGACAAACAGAGAGCCAAATCATGAGTGAACTCCCATTCACAATTGCTTCAAAGAGAATAAAATACCTAGGAATCCAACTTACAAGGGATGTGAAGGACCTCTTCAAGGAGAACTACAAACCACTGCTCAAGGAAATAGAAGAGGATACAAACAAATGGAAGAGCATTCCACGCTCATGGGTAGGAAGAATCAATATCTTGAAAATGGCCATACTGCCCAAGGTAATTTACAGATTCAATGCCATCCCCATCAAGCTACCACTGCCTTTCTTCACAGAATTGGAAAAAACTGCTTTAAAGTTCATATGGAACCCAAAAAGAGCCCACATTGCCAAGTCAATCCTAAGCCAAAAGAACAAAGCTGGAGGCATCACACTACCTGACTTCAAACTATACTACAAGGCTACAGTAAACAAAACAGCATGGTACTGGTACCAAAACAGAGATATAGATCAATGGAACAGAATAGAGCCCTCAGAAATAATGCCACTTATCTACAACTATCTGATCTTTGATAAAACTGAGGAAAACGAGCAATGGGGAAAGGATTCCCTATTTAATAAATGGTGCTGGGAAAAGTGGCTAGCCATATGTAGAAAGCTGAAACTGGATCCCTTCCTTACACCTTATACAAAAATCAATTCAAGATGGATTAAAGACTTAAACGTTCAACCTAAAACCATAAAAACCCTAGAAGAAAACCTAGGCATTACCATTCAGGACATAGGCATGGGCAAGGACTTCATGTCTAAAACACCAAAAGCAATGGCAACCAAAGCCAAAATTGACAAATGGGATCTAATTAAACTAAAGAGCTTCTGCACAGCAAAAGAAACTACCATCAGAGTGAACAGGCAACCTACAACATGGGAGAAAATTTTCACAACCTACTCATCTGACAAAGGGCTAATATCCAGAATCTACAATGAACTCAAACAAATTTACAAGAAGAAAACAAACAACCCTGTCAAAAAGTGGGCGAAGGACATGAACAGACACTTCTCAAAAGAAGACATTTATGCAGCCAAAAAACACATGAAAAAATGCTCATCATCACTGGCCATCAGACAAATGCAAATCCAAACCACAATGAGATACCATCTCACACCAGTTAGAATGGCAATCATTAAAAAGTCAGGAAACAACAGGCGCTGGAGAGGATGTGGAGAAATAGGAACACTTTGACACTGTTGGTGGGACTGTAAACTAGTTCAACCATTGTGGAAGTCAGCGTGGCGATTCCTCAGGGATCTAGAACTAGAAATACCATTTGACCCAGCCATCCCATTACTGGGTATATACCCAAAGGACTATAAATCATGCTGCTATAAAGACACATGCACACATATGTTTATTGCGGCATTGTTCACAATAGCAAAGACTTGGAACCAACCCAAATGTCCAATAATGATAGACTGGATTAAGAAAATGTGGCACATATACACCATGGCATACTATGCAGCCATAAAAAATGATGAGTTCATGTCCTTTGTAGGGACATGGATGAAATTGGAAATCATCATTCTCAGTAAACTATCGCAGGAACAAAAAACCAAACACCGCATATTCTCACTCATAGGTTGGAATTGAACAATGAGATCACATGGACACAGGAAGGGGAATATCACACTCTGGGGACTGTGGTGGGGTGGGGCGAGGGGGGAGGGATAGCATTGGGAGATATATCTAATGCTAGATGACGAGTTAGTGGGTGCAGCGCACCAGCATGGCACATGTATACGTATGTAACGAACCGGCACAATGTGCACATGTACCCTAAAACTTAAAGTATAATAAAACAAAAAAACAAGAAAAAAACAATTTTTCTGTCTGTTGTATGTAATTTATATAATTTGTGTGTAATCCCACCATGATTAGAAACAATATTATCTGAGGACACTAAATGCAACATAAGACAATTTTGGAGAAAGTGGTTATAAAACAATTCCACAGAAAACATAGGAATATGCCCTAAAATATTGACCATGGTTATTAAAATGAGGGAAAATATGGGGCAATATTTCTTATCTATACTTATCCATATTTTAGCATTCCATACAAACATCATGTTTTCCATATTTGAGAAAATTATATGTGCCATGAAAATACTTGTCAACTTTGTCCATCTTGCAAACCTCCTCTCCCCTGTCTTCTACCTAGGAACTGTAATAGGAGGTATTGCTCCTGAAAAGTCTATGATTGCGTGATATATTTTGAAAATAATGGTCATGATTCACCATATTTTCTTACATGATGGAAAAAAATTTTTAGTCACTTTTCTAGTAATATGAATAAAAATGATCATCTTGTGTTTGGTAAGTAGTGACTGCATGCTTACTACCATCCCTGCTAGGAGTTTCTTTCCTCTGCACCACCTCTTTCACACATAGCCCCCAGAATATATCTTTCTAAACCCAGATTCGGTAACTATCTTTCCACAAGCTTAAAAATGACTGCTCAAAGCATAAAAATAAGAGGCTGTTTTTTTGCCTGTTTTTTTAAAGTAGTATGGCCTTAAGTTCTATTTTCAGCTTCTTATCCTATTATACCTTATTTTAACAAAGTACCTCATTTTCTAGGTATATTGGAATACAGTCTTCAAGTTTGGGGTCATTTTCTCTCTCTGACTGACATGAATTATGATTTCCTCATTATTTGACTGTGAAAATCCTTTTAATATCTCAGTTCAACCTAAAACTTCACCAAGAGCAGATATTAAACTGTTTGTTCAGATTTCAGAATGCCCAGTGAATGAGTCACATTTACAAAGTGTGAGTTTACCTATATGCATATGGTGGTCCCTTCTCTCCATACTGCAAGGAAACCCATTATTCTAGCATTCTTAGTTGCCTTGTATTAGTACTCTGATGGTCAGAAACCCTAATCACTTTGAACTTGGCAGCCTGTTAGTGGTAAGACTTGGACTTTGAGGCTGAAGTCCTTTCTTCGGGACGTTGAGTCCAAATTTACATATTGTACTTGAATCCAGATTTTTCAAAACATTTAATTGGCAGTTACAGGCACTGCCCCAACTAAAATTAAAGTGGAACTTTCATTTCTCATTTGTCCTTGTTCCTTGAGTATATTATTGCCTTGGAAGCCTTGTGGGAAATAGATGATTTGTAAAGCATGGTTCTATTAATCCTGGGTTTCTCTAGCCAAACAACATTTAACAGCAATCTAAAACTTATCATACATGTAGTATATTAGCAAAATTGCCATCCTGTTCTTACTCATATACTTCCTCCCTCAAAGTGGCTGGTGTCTAAGGTAAAGAGTGTCTCCAGACCCATTCATATTATTCTTTTCTACTTTCCACTGCCGGGTAAATCAATGGCCAGACTACACTGCCATCCCTTTTTTTTCTGAATTTTTGTCTACTTTTTTTTTTTTTACTCTGAATCTCATGCTTCTTTTTAATAAAGCAGGATGTTCCCAAACTCTTCATCCTCACCAGTACACACGAACACACACACACACACAAACACACACATTTTCTATTTTCATCTCTTGCTTGTTTCCGTGATGGCACTTATAACTTAAATTTGCTTCTTTCTATGTTTGCTTGTTGTTTCTTGGCCATCCTCACTGGTATCTCCAAGATGCAGAGGGTGTGCCTTTCTTACTCACCTCTGTAACCCCAGTTACCATAGCAGTGTCTAGCACGAATGAGGAGCACAATAATAACAAATTCATTCTCATCTAATATTAGTGCCCAAACCTCTGGAGCATGAAGCCCACCTACTACAATAATAGTCATTTTGAGGACAAATATGATTTTTCCTGCTACTTGTGTTTTTCCTTTAGAGATTATGAGTATATACTTTTTTTTTAAATTGTGGTAAAATACATATAATCAAATTTTCCATCTTAACCATTTTAAGGGTAAAATTCAGTGGCATCATACACATTCACAGTGCTAAGTAACTATTAGCACTATTTCCAAAATCACTTCACCTCAGATAGAAACTCCATCCCCAATAAGCAATCACTCCCCAGTTCCCACTTCTCCAGTCCCTGGTAGTCTTTACTCTACTTTCTATCTCCATCAACGTATCTATTCCAGATATTTCAAATAATTGAAATCATACAATATTTGTCTTCTTGTATCTGGTTTATTTTTTCAGTCTAGTGTTCTCAGGGTTTATCCATGTTGTGGCATGTATCAGACTTCATTCCTTCTTAAGGCTAAACATGCCATTGTATGAATATACAGGACAACATTTTGTTCATCTGTTTATCTACTGATGAACACCAAGTTTATTTGGCTATCATAAGCAATGTTTTTATGAACATTGATATACAAATATTTGTTTGAGTTTCTGTTCTCAATACTTTGAGAACCTAGGAGTTCTCAAATACCTAGGAGTGGAATTTTTGTTTCACATGTAAACTCTACATTTAACTGTTTGTGGAACGACCAAATGGTTTCCGCAGCTGTTACATCATTTTACATTGTGATGGGTATAGTTTTGATTGGCTTTCTTTCTTTAGCTGAGACTGTGAAGAGGGAGTGAATTAGACAAAAACCTGAACAATTCTCAAACATATATGCTTAGACTATATATGTCTAAGATTGTCAAATGGTTAGACAAAAAGAAATATCCTATATGGTTTGAATCAGCAGCAGTTTTAAGCAAGAACATGATAAACCATACATTTAAAATGTATTTCAAGCAAGAATCCAGTAGGTGAAATGTCTATTCACATCAATATATAGCCATAGAAATGGGCTCAATATTTAAAAAACACAAAATGTAGAACATTTTTTTTTGTTTGTTTCAGATAAAGTCCTAAAATATGCAACCCAAAATCCAAGAAATATTTTAAAATTGCTGGTCTCTATCTCTTTTCAGTAGCTAGAGAATGGGAACAAAAACATAAATCCAAAGTTCTCCTGAATTTTAAGGTTTAAATCTTTTATTGAAATGCTCTAAAATAACAAGAGAATGCATCCAGTTATGTTTGGAAAAAAAATGTTGCTTTGTAAATAAGAATATATTTTTTCCTAGTCACTTCTTGATTTTTCCATGCAAGTCACGTATTCCCAAAAGATGAAAAATATTAAATATTTACCATAGAACATCTAAAAACAATAAAAAAGGGACTAGTCCCCACTGTATATAAAGCTCTGCTCCAGGCATAAGGATAACTAGTTGGAGTCTCTGGGCACTCATAAGAGAACAGATTCATTTTTAACAAGTCTTTCGCCTACACAGAACTGTAATTGCATAGCTTGTGTGGTGTCTGTATCTTTATCATTTTCTATTTATTCATCTATCCTGTGTTTCCTGTTCATTTCCTGTGAAAAATGAATAATTAAATAAGCTAACAAATTAAACAAATTTAACAAATTAAAACAAACAAATGAGAAAGCATATAGATTTTTTGTACTCAAAAGTGACACTTTCCCTCACTGTTGGAATACTCTAAACTCTTTTCTATCCATACGATGGGTAGTGTATTTAATTCGTGTACCACCCAGGTAGCATAGTGTATAGAAAACAGCATTAGGGTTCACAGACTTTGTTTTTATCCTGCCTCTACTTCTAATAAGCTGTTTGACTTTGAATACCTCACTAAACCTCTTTAGGCTATGTTTCCTTATTCGTAAATTGAGCAAGTTGAACCAGATCACTGGTTTACACATTGTGTTGCCTCAGAAGCTAAAATTGGAGATGAGGGGGAAGTAAATTAGTAGGGCTCTGTGCTCACTGTGCTTACTTTAAATACAGTGGTTTTACTTTCATTTGCCTTATGCATTTGGCATCTGTGCACAGTTTTATTTGGGAAGAAGAAAAAGTCCCTCTTTTGGAAATGGTGGTGGGGAACCCAGAAATATGAACTAGTCAGTAACAATTCTTTGCTACCCAAGTATGAAATTATTTATTGTCTTAATATACAACCAGTAAAAATAACAGCATCTAACCAGTTGGGTGTTGATGAGAAGTCACAAATAAGTATTGTACAATACTGTAAGTACTGGCGAAGTTCAGAGGAACATGTATCTGTATAACTTCCTAAAATGACCAAATGAAGAGTATTAGAGCATTCAAAAATTGAGATTGTGAAGCAGGAGTACTGCTTCAAAAATAACATTGTTATTTTTCAATAGGTATTCTGCATCAAGATAATACATTTTTTAAAATGTACATACTTTGGTATAACTAAAATAATGATAATGCAACATTTTTCAATTTACTGCCATCAAACAAATTGATGTTTGTTACTTTCTTAAAGGGGCTGACTTATCCTAAGGAACTTTATTCTCTCATATTTCATGGAAATAACATTAGACTAGAAAACAAGGCTCTCATCTGGTCTTGGCTTCCTAAAGTGCACAGGTAAAGGCTTGCATTTGCCCTCTATGCATTTGATTTGCTCTCTCTTTCTCTGCATTGTCACACTTTTGCCATGGAGATCATTATATACTGTGTATGTATATGCATGCATGTGTATGTGTTGGTGGGAGTGGGGAGGGCTCAGGCTAATATCTGTCCATAATGAAGAATAATATTTCAGTTCATAAGTTTTTTAAAAATGTCAGATGTCTCAATCTTTATAGTTGAAAGCATCCATAATAGTCATTTTGTCCAACATCCATGCTAACATTCAATCTTTCTATAGTATCTCTTAAAGATTTTCCAGTAATAGAAAGTATATTTCATTATGAAACAGCTGAACTTATTTTAAAACAACAAACAAAAGCACTTGGTAAAATTCCAATCCTTGGATGTGAGTTTTACTCTCTTAAGACACAGACTAATCTTTACCTATTGACCTGTTGTCCTCATGCCAGTACCTTAAATGTCTGATGGAGGCTGACATGTTCCCAGGTCTACATACATGAGCATGAAACTTGGGATTGAGAATTTGAGTTGCAATATGTTTGATTGAATCCTCCCTGTTGTTATTTTAATATTCTTAATAACTTTTGAACAAATGCTCCCTGATTTTTATTTTGCAGTGGGCCTTGCAAATTATGTAGCCAGTTATGCATAATCCTTAAATCATCTATTCTCAAGCTTAATAACCCCAGTTCCTACAGTATCTGTTCATGATCATTGGTATTATATAGGTTTGTTTGTCAATGACCATGTTAGAAGGTAATGGCCAGAAATGAGCACAGTGCTCTAGGTGTGGTCTGATCAGTGAGAAAATCAGAAGCATGATTATATCCCATGGTGATATCTCCTGTGCCTCTCTATTCTCACCCCCTCAAGATCCAGTCTCTTGACACTTCTCTGCCCTGCTCTGAGCCCAAGAAGGCCAACTCATGCAGAGGGTAGCAGTTGAGATCCCTTCCTGCCTGGCATCCAGCTGGGTTAATGGAAGGCAGTAGGGGAGGGCAATGTAGAAGAGAGAATGCAGGGTATCTCCTTCCCCTTCCCTGTCTCAGAGCTGCATCCCTCTCTGTGGTAAAAATTGCATCCCTCTCTGATGAGAATTCCTACTGGTTGGTCCCTCTTTTACAGTTCCATATCTTCTTTTTTTTCCTTCTCCCTCTTTTTTTTTTTTTTTTTTTTTTTTTAGGTAGAGTCATGCTTTGTCACCCAGGCTGGAGTGCAGTGGCACAATCTCGGCTCACTCCAACCTCCGCCTCCCAGGTTCAAGCAATCCTCCTGCCTCAGCTTCCCAAATAGCTGAGATTACCAGCATGTGCTACCACGCCAGGCTAATTTTTGTATTTTTAGTAGATACGGGGTATCCCCATGTTGGCCTGGCTAGTCTCGAACTCCTGACTTCAAGTGTTTCACATACCTCGGCCTCCCAAAGTGCTAGGATTACAGGTGTGAGCCACTGCATGTGGCCTACAGTTCCATATCTCACTGGTCACACAGTACTGTTTTCTCTCCTTGTTCCTTCAGCCCTAGTGGGTATTAATGGTTTCCTGCTGCTTCTGCTCCTTTAATCCTGATCACATACCATATGCATTCCTTTCATAGAACCATTTTCATTTGAACCATATGGGGTAAATTCTGTACCTTGCCAATGCTCTGATAAATCACTCAGCATGTTGGTGTCATATGTCTCTTAATGTCTCCAGTTAGCATACATTTTGGACATTTCTCTAGAAAGATGAAGTTGACTTTCTTTGCTTCACTGAGTCACTGACCTAGGGTCTCCTTCCACATTTCCAATCACCTTCTGAAGACTTATAGAGGGTGCTCAAATTTCTATCTTTGAGACATCATGCTTCCAGAATATCATTAATTCAAAAATATGAAGAAATAGTTCCTATACATCAAGCATTCTCTCTCCCAAGAACTGGGGATATAGTAGTGACCAATCACATCAAATTCTCTATCCTAATGGAGTTTAGTGAGATTCTTGTGAGAGATAAAAGATATAAACCAGAGGCCTCTAAGAAGCTAAATAACATGACTGGCCTAATTTAGAAGTTTTACTCTGGTTGCTGTATTCAGAATACACTGCCAGAATCCAGGAGAGGAAGCAAGAACAGTTAGAATAATACAAGTAAGGAGACATGGCAGCTTGGACTAAGGCAGTGGCAGCAGGGGGTAAGGTTATTCTGTGACTCAGCATACCTCCTTGCTGCCCTGTTTCTCTGTTCCATTGAATCCCAAGGTAGGATCCATATCTGATCCTGTACTTTACCAGCTTACTACAAACAATTTGTGAATAACTGCATAGTGAATTAAAGGTCAACAATATCCACTTTACACTCAAGGAAAATAATTTTCCTTTTTCTTAGCAATCATATTAGGTGTTTTTCTTCTTTTTTCAAACGTAAAGAAAAATGTTGTAATATTCCTGGGGACTATGAAAGAAATTAAAAGTCAAATGAAAGCTGTTCATTGAATTATTCATGGAAAATTATCTAAAATGAAATGAAAAAGGGGATTATCATCTTCAATTTGCCTCAATATTGAGGTATGGGTAAGAAAATACTCAGAAAATTAAGGTTTCCTTAACAAGATTTTTAATGGTTTTGTTAGTAACTTTTTTTTTTGTTTTGTTTTGTTTTTTTTTATTTTTTTTATTTTTTATTTTTAATGTTTTTTTTTTTATTATTATACTCTAAGTTTTAGGGTACATGTGCACATTGTGCAGGTTAGTTACATATGTATACATGTGCCATGTTAGTAACTTTTACAAAAACAAAAAGGTCACATTTTCCGGAAGATGGAATAATCAATAACTATACTATTTTGAGCACTAGGTTTGACTCCTTCTACCTACTCTTTGTATAAAAAAAAAACTAATTTTTAATTATACTGAGAGCAAGAGAAATTCAGTGAAGGAGGAGGAGAGAGAGGAGGAGGAGAAGAAAAGAAAACATCAATAAATATACTATGAAGTAGTTCCCCAGAAATAAAGCTGCCCTATAGAGCTTTCCTAAAGTAACAAGGTTGGTGGTTTATAAAACAAAATGCAACCATCTTTTGTTGTTGAATTGTAAGACATTTTTTTAAATGTGCAGCATAAGTTTGATTCAAAAACCAGTGATATCTAGGTCATATTAGAATAAATTAGTGGAGAGCTGAAATGTAATTAATTGAAAATAAGGGGAAGGGGATAAGTTCTTGCTCCCTTGCCCCATTATGGAGAGTATCTGTTTCTATTACAACTGTTGTAGTTATCCAAGACTAAATTCAATTTTCTTGCAAAGGTCATATATTCTCTCATTATCTAATCAAAGATATACTATTAATATATAAGGCATTAATTAATTTAAAATTCCATTAATACTTATGTGACAGGCTTTTGGACCTGGATCTTCAACAATTATTTGACAATCCATTTCTTCAGTTCTTAGGAAATAATCTGACAATATGTATGGGCTGCAAACAGGTTTCTTTGGAGGATCTTCAAAGCACCACTACCAACATCTTCTAACTTCAGATCTGCCAGTCAGGAAGAGGCTTGATAACTAGAGGTTTTGTTGTGCAGACATTATGGTCCTTAAGAACAGTTTTTTAGTCTCATGGTTGTCTACAAAACTGAAGGCCAAATAGTCTTTTATCTTCTGAAGAAAATGAAGTTTTTACTTAAGTAAAGAAAACAAAAACTACCACAGAATAGTCAAACAATCCTGAAAGGCTATGGTCACAACAAATTTCTTATAAGATAAGATAATAATACGATAAATTTGATAATTAGGTAAATAATGGCTGTGCCATTTATTCTTCTTAATTATTCATTTGGTAGGAGGAGAAACAAGATGGCTGAAGAGAAGCATCCAGCAATCGTTCCCCTTGCAGGAACACCAAATTGAACAACTGTCTACACAAGAAAGCATCTTCATGACCAAAAATCAAGCTAGCAACTACAGTGTATGCCTTTAACCTCATATCAAGGAAACAGGTATGAAAGAAGGTAGGAAAGACAGTCTTTATTTGCGTACACCACCCCTCCCCCATCCCCCAGTTCACCACAAGGCAGTAGGACAGAGAATCTATATGCTTGGGAGAGGGAGAGTGCATTGATTTTGAGACTTCACATTATAACTCAGTGCTGACTTGTCACAGGGGAAAGTAATGCAAGGCAGAATTCAGCCAGCCTCCAAGGAGGAAGGATTTAGACCAGCCCTAGTCAAAGGGAAATAGCACATCCGAGAAGTAAGAACCTGAGCCATGGCTAGCACCACCACCATGAGTTAAATTGCCCTGAGATCCTAAATAAATTAGAAAGGCTGCCTAGACCACAAGGACTGTAATTCCTGGGCAGTCTTGGTGCTTTGCTGGGCTTGGAGCCAGTGGACTTGGGGTGCATGTAACTCAGTAAGAAACCAGCTGGAGCAGCAAAGGGAGTGTCATCCCTCCTCCAACTCTGGCAACACAGCTCACAATTCTGGGAGAATTCCTCCAGCTTGAGGAAAAGAGAGAGAAGAGTAAAGAGAACTTTGTCTTGCAAGTTCGGTAACAGCTCAGCCGTAGTAAAATAAAGCACAAAGCTAACTCATAAAGACCCCAATACTAGGGCATAGCTCCCAGATGACATTTCTAGACTCACCCTGGGCCAGAAGGGAACCTGCGGCCCTGAAATGAAAGACCTAGGCCTGGCAGGATTCACTACCTCTGACTAAAGAGCCCTTGAGCATTGAATATACAGCAGCCATAGCCAGACAGTAGTCACCATAGGCCTTGGGCAAGACTCAGTACTGTGCTAGCCTCAGCTGTGACCAAGAAGAGTCCCAGCAATGGTAGTCACAGGAAGGCTTGTGACACCCCTTCTCCAACTTCAGGCAGCTCAGTACGAAGAGAAATAGAGACACTGCTTGGGAGAAAGTAAGTAAAGAGAACAAGACTTCACCTGGTAATACAGGGAATTCTCTTGTATCTTACTGAAGATCACCAAGGTGGCACCTGTATAAGTCAGCAAGACTTAAAGTGTTACTGGGCTTGGGGTGCCCCCTAATGCATACAGTGACCAAAGACTTAGAACAACATTCAATTCCCTTTAAATACTTGGAAAGCCCTATCAAGAATTATGGGTATAAATAAGCTCAGACTGCAATGATTAGAATAAACTAGTTTTTCAATGTCCAGACATTGACAAACATCCAAAAGCATTAAGACCATCTAGGAAAACATGACTTTGCCAAACTAAATAAGGCATCAATGAGCAATCCCAGAGTAACAGAGATATGTGACCTTTCAGATAACTCAAAATAGCTGTTTTGAAGAAACACAATGAAATTCAAGATATTACAGAGAAGAAATTCAGAATTCCATCAGATAATTTTAACAAAGAGATTAAAATAATCTTAAAAACTCAAGCAGAAATTCTGGAACAGCCCTATTAACTGACAAACAGAAAAATGCATCAGAGTCTCTCAAGAGCAGAATGGATGAAGGAGAAGAAAGAATTTGTGTGCTTGAACAGGCTATTTGAAAACACACAGACAGAGGAAAGCAATAACAAAAAAAAATGAAGCATGCCTACAAGATTTATAAAATAGCATGAAAATGGAAAATCTAAGAGTTATTGGCCTTAAATAGGAGATAGAAAGAGAGATTGGGGCAGAGAGTGTATTGAAAAAAATAACAGAGAACTTTCCAAACCTACAGAAATATATCAATATTTAAGTACAACAAGGTTATAGAACACAAGCAGATGTAACCCAAATAAGACTAACTCAGGAGATTTAATAAGCAAACTCCCAAACATCAAAAATAAAGAAAGGATCATAAAGGCAGCAAGAAAAAAAGCAACAAATAACATACAAAGGAGCACCAATACATCTGGCAGCAGACTTAAAGCCTTGACCTTACACGCCAGGAGAGAGTGGCATGGCATATCTAAAGTGCTGAAGGGAAAACAAAAACAAAACCAAAAACAAACCAAACAAAAAAATCTTTTATCCAAGAATAGTATATCCAGTGAAAATATCCTGCAGACATGAAGGAGAAATAAAAAAATTCCCCAGGCAAACAAAACCTGAGGGATTTCATCCATACCAGATCTTTCCTAAAGAAAGTTTTTAATCTGAAAGAAAAAGACATTAAGGAGCAATAAGAAATCATTTGAAAGTACAAAACTGACTGGAAATAAGTACACAGACAAATATAAAATACTGTAACTGTAATTGTGGTGTGTAAACTACTCGTATCTTGAGTAGGAAGACTAAAAGACAAATCTATGTGAAATAATAACTCCAACAACTTTTAAAGACATATATAGTATAAGAAGATATAAATAGAAACAACAAAAACTTACAGAGCAAGAAGTATGAAGTTAAAGTGTAGAGTTTTTATTAGTTTTTCTTTGTTTTTGCAATAAGAGTTAAGTAGTCATCAATTTAAAGTAATGAGTTATGTTATTTGCAAGCCTCATGGTAACCTCAAATCAAAAAACCTAAAAAATATAAACACACACACACACACAAAATAAAAATCAAAAAATTACAACATACCACCAGAGAAAAACACTTTCACAAAAAGTAAGACAGGAAGGACAGAAGGAAGAGAAGACCCCAAGACAACCAGAGAACAAATAACAAAGTGGTAGTAGTAAGTCCTTATTTATCAATAATAACATTAAATATAATAGACTAAACACTCCAATAAAAAAAAGTAGAGTGACTGAATGCATTAAAACTAAACTCAACAATATGCTGCCTTCAAGAAACACACCTCACCTATAAAGACATACACTGAAAAAAAAAACCAGATGGATAAAGATATCCCACACCAATGGCATTCAAAGAACAGCAGGAGTAGCTATATATATATATATATATATATATATATATATATATATATCAGATAAAATAGATTTTAAGACAATAACTACAAAAAGAGGCAAAGAAAGTCATTATATATTGATAAAAGGGTCAATTCAGCAAGCGGATATAACAATTTTAAATATATATGCGCCTAACACTAGAGAACACAGATATATAAAACAAATGTTATAAGAGCTAAAGAGAGTGATAGATCCCAATACAATAATAGTTTTAGATTTCACCATCCCACTTGCAGGATTGGACAGATTATCCAGACAGGAAATCAATAAAGAAATATCAGACTTAATAGGCACTATAGACCAAATGGATCTAATAGATATTTACAGAATATTTTATTTAACAACTGCAGAATATACATTCTTTTCCTCAGCACATACATCATGCTCAAGGAGAGACTATATGTTAGGCCACAAAACAAGACTCACAAAATTAAAAGAAAATGAGATCATGTCAAGTGTTTTCTCAGAGAACAATAGAATAATATTAAACAGCAATAACAAGAGGTACTTTGGAAACTATAAAAACACGTGGAAGTTAAACAAAATTTTCCTGAATGACCAGTGGGCCCATGAAGAAATTAAAACAAAAATTTTAAAAATTCATGAAGCCACTGAAAATGAAAATGCAACATCCCAAAATCTACGGGATACAGAGAAAGCAATGTTAAGAGGAAAGTTTATACCAATAAGTGCCTACATTAAAAAGGCATATAAATTTTTAATGAAAAACCTAATAACATGTCTTAAATAACTAGAAAAATAAGGGCAAGGCATACTCAAAATTTGTAGAAAAAAAGAAATAATACAGATCAGAGCAGAAGTAAATGAAATTGAAACAGGGGAAAATACAAAACATCAATGAAATGAAAAGATTGATTTCTGAAAGGATAAAAAAAATCAACCAACCTTTAGCCAGACTAAAAACAAAAGAGAGAAGATCAAAATTTTAAAAGCAGATGAAAAAGGTGATATTACAACTGATACCACAGAAATCCAAAGGATCATTGTAGACTACTATGAGCAACTATATGCCAATAAATTGGAAAACCTAGAGGAAACAGGTAAATTCCCAGACACATACAAATTACCAGTATCAAATGATGAAGAAATCTAAAACCGAAATAGACTAATAACAAGTAAGAAGATTAAAGTCATAAGAAAAATTCTCCCAGCCAAAAAAAAAAAAAAAAAAAAAACCTCAGGGCCCACTGGATTTATTGCTAAATTCTAGCAAACACTTATGAGGAACTAATACAAATACTACTCAAAGTGTTCCAATATACAGAGGAGGAGAGAATATTACCAAACTCATTGGAAGCACTACTAATTCTATGAGGCCAGTAATATCCTGATACCAAAACAGGATGAAGACACATCAAAAAAACAAAAATGCAGGACAATATCTCTGATAAACATAGATGCAAAAATCCTCAACAAAATACTAGCAAACCAAATTCACCAATGCATTAAAAACATCATTCATTTTACTTTAAGTCCTGGGATACATGTGCAGAACATGCCAGTTTGTTACACAGATATACATGTGCCATGGTGGTTTGCTGCACCTATCAACCCTTGTTCTCTGAGACCCCAGTGACAATACCTGCCTCACCTCACATTACCCAGTGGAAAATCGGAACAAATCTACTTTGACAGGCAAAGTGCTACATAAGTGTACGGCATTCTTATTTTTATTTTTAAAAAACATATATGTGCAGGTTATAATGGCTTTCAAAGCTGGCCTCCTTATAAGTGAATGAGATATCAGCAAATTAATAGAATCTATGGTACCCTCAGTCCTGAAAATATCTTAATATTCCACACTTAAAAGACCATTGCGTTTTTTTTTTAATAAGTGAAATTTCATTGTGTTAAAAATAGTGTGATTAAAAACAATATTGTTAAAAAAAATCATTCACCATGACCAAGTGGAATTTATCCCAGGGATACAAGGATGGTTCAACATACACAAATCAATCAGTGTGATACACCATATCAACAGAATGAAGGATAAAACAATATGATCATCTTAATCAATGCTGAAAAGGCATTTGACAAAATTCAGCATTCTTTTATGGTAAAAATCTTCAAAATACTGGGCTTAGGCCAGGCGCGGTAGCTCACGCCTGTAATCCCAGCACTTTGTGAGGCTGAGGCAGACAGATCACAAGGTCAGGAGATCGAGACCATCCTGGCTAACACGGTGAAACCCCATCTCTAGTAAAAAATACAAAAAAAAATTAGCTGGGCGTGGTAGCGGGCACCTGTAGTCGCAGCTACTCTGGAGGCTAAGGCAGGAGAATGGTGGGAACTCAGGAGGCGGAGCTTGCAGTGAGCCCAGATCGTGCCACTGCACTCCAGCCTGGGAGACAGAGTGAGACTCCATTTAAAAATAATGATAATAATAATGGGCTTAGAAGGAACATAACAACAACTGAAAGCCTTGGATCTAAGATTTGGAACAAGATAAGGATGCCTACTGTCCCTACCGTTATTCAGCATAATTCTGGAAGTCCTAGTAAGAGCCATCAATAGAAAGAAGTAAATGGCTTCTAAATTGTAAAAGAAAAAAACAAATTATCTGCATTTGTAGATGATAACTTATATTTAGAAACTCCTAGTGATGCCATCAAAAACCCTTTAGAATAAATTCAGTAAAGTTTCAGAATACCAAATAAAAATACAAAAAAACTGTATTTCTATATGTCAACAGTGAAAAATATGAAAAAGAAATCAAGAAAGTAATCCCATTTACATTAGCTACAAATAAAATAAAATCCCAAGGAATAAACTTAACCAAAAAAGTGAAAGATCTCTACAATGAAAACTAACAAACATTGATGCAAGATATTGAAGATGATACAAAAAAGGTGAAAATATTTTATGTTCATGGATTGGAAGATTTAACATTGTCAAAATGCCCATAACACCCAAAGCAATCTGCAATTCAAAGAAATTTCTATCAAAATACCATTTACCTTCTCACCTAAATAGAAAAAAGTATTCTAAAATTTATGTGGAACCACAAAAGACTCAGAACAGCCAAAGCTATCCTGAGCAAAAGGAACAAAACTGGATGAATGACATTACCTCCAGTTATACTACAGAGCTATAATAAACAAAACAGCATTGTGATGGCACAAAAACAGACACATAGACCAATGTAACAAAATAGATAACACAGAAATAAATCCATATAAAGACTCAAGAAAATACATTAGGGAAAGGACAGTCTCTACAATTAATGGTGTTTGGAACTGGGTATCCATATGCAGAAGAATAAAACTATACTCTTTTCTTGCCGTACACAAAAATGAAATCAAAATGGATTCAAGACTGAAATCTGAGACCTTAAACTACAAAACTACTAAAGAAAACATTTGGGAAAGGCTCTAAGGCTGAATTTGGGCAAATATTTATTGAGTAACACCCAACAACTACAAGCAACCAAAGTAAACATGGACAAAGGGGATCATATCAAGTTAAAAATCTCCTTCACAGCAAAGGAAATGATCAACAAAGTGAAGAGACAACCCATAGAATGGGAAAAATATTAGCAAACTCTACATCTGACAAGGGATTAATAACCAGAATTTATAAGAAGCTCAAGCAACTCAATAGTAAAAAATCTGATAATCCAATTTAAAATGGGAAAAATATCTGAATACACCTTCCTCAAAAGAAGATATACAAATGGCAAACGAGTAAATGAAAGGTTTCTCAATATCACTGATCATCAGAGAAATGCAAATCAAAACTACAATATGATTTCATCTCACCCCATTTAAAATGGCTTTTATCCAAAAGACAGGAAATAACAAATGCTGGCAAGGATATAAAAGACTGGGAATATAAATTACTACCACCACTATGGAGAACAGTATGGAGGGTCCTCAGAAAACTAAAAGTAAAACCACCATATGATTCAGTAATTTTACTGGTATGTACCCAAAAGGAAGTAAAACAATACATCGAAGAGATACCTAGACTCCCATGTTTATTGCAACATTATTGAAAATAACCAAGATTTGTAAGCAAACCGAAGTGTTCATCAGTAGATGAATGGATAAGGCAAATGTAGTGCATATACACAAAAGCACTATTCAGCCATAAAAAAATGAGACCCTGTCATGTTCAACAGCGTGGATGGAACTGGAAGACATTATGTTAAGTGAAATAAGCCAAGCACAGAAAGACAAACTTATGTTCTCACTCATTTGCAGGGGCAAAAAATTGAAATAATTGAATTCATGGAGTATACAGTAGAATGATGGTTACCAGAAGCTGGGAAGAGTAGTGGGGAGTAGAGGAAAAGTGGGGATGGTTAATAAGTACAAAAATATAGTTAGATAGAATGAATAATATCTAGTATTTGATAGCATAGCAGGGTGACTACACTCAACAATTTATTGTAAATTTTTAAATAACAAAAAGAGTATAGTTGGAATGCCCATAACACCAAGAAAGGATAAATGCCTGAGGTGATGAATATCTCATTTACTCTGATGTGATTATTATGCATTGTATCTGTGTATCAAAATATCTCATGTACCCCATGAATATATATATATTTGTATATGTGAATATATATATTCATATATATTCGTATTTATGTGAGTATACATATGAATATATATTCACATATATATTCATATGTATACCTACTATATACCCATAAAAATTAAAATAAAAATTAAAGGGAAAAATAAATAAATACTAAAAATGGGCAAAAGGTCTGAACAGACATTTTTCTAAGGAAGACATACAAATTGCCAACAGACATATGACAAGATGTTTAATGTCACTAATCATCAGGGAAATGAAAATCAAAGCTACAGTGAGATATCACCTCACACCTGTTAGTATAGCTATTATCAAAAAAAAAAATGAGAAATAATCATTGTTAGCCAGGGTGTGGAGAATAGGTAACTCTTGTACACTGTTTCTGAGAATGTAAATTGGTACAACCATTTTGGAAAATAGTTTGGAGCTTCCTTAAAAAATTTAAAATATAACTACTATAAAACCAGCAATACCTCTGCTAGGTATCTACGTAAAGGAAATGAAGTCAGCACCTTGTAGAAAGATCTACATTCCCATGTTTATTGCAGCATCATGCACAGGAACAAAGGTATGAAAACAACTCAAGTGTCCATCAATGGATAAATAAATTGTCATTTTATATATACATACAAATGAATTCTATTCAGCCTTGAAAAAGAAGGCAATCCTGCCATTTGCAACAATATAATGAATCTGAAAGACATTATACTAAGTCAAATAAGCCAGACACAGGAAAATAGATACTGCATGATCTCACTTATATGTGGATTCTAAGAAATAGTCAAATATATGGAAACAGAAAGTAGAACGCTAGTTACCAGGGACACAGAGGAAGAGAAAATGGGGAGATATAAGTCAAAAATGTACAAACTTGCAGCTATGTAAAATGAATGTTTAGATATCTGATATTATAATGTACAGCATTATAATATTATTAACTACAGTTAATAATATTGTATTATATAATTAAATTTGCTAAGAAAGTAGATTTTAGGAACTCTCATCACACATAAGTTACCTATGGAAAGTGATGAGTATACTAATTTGCTTACCTATAGTAAGCATTTCACTGTGTATGTGTTTATCAAAACATCATTTTGTATATATTAACTATACACAATAAAAATAAATTTAAAAAAATCATTTTGGGGGAGAGAGGCTGTAAATATCTCACAGATGTTTTACTTCAGCTAGGAAAAAACCTGAAGAGTTATAAGGATCATGTGTTTTTATTAAAATTATGTAGTTGTATGTAAATACACGTGTTGTTGAAACATAGATAGATACCAAAGCAAAGAAATGATCGATTGGCCTGAAGATAGTCAGGAAGGATTTAATTAGCTCAACAGTGTCATGATTTAAATAAAAATAATAAAGATAAAATAACTGACACCTATAAAATGGCCACTGTGTCTCAATGTGGTTTTAGTGCCCAAGAAAAGAGCTATTACTCTTTCAGAGTTGAGGAAAGGATCAGAGATAGGACTACTTTTTGCTGCTTTATTTTTTTCCTTTTCCTTAGAAACTAGCTTCATCTCCCAAAGTCCCACCTCATCCTCCACCTTTACTTTGTACTGTGCTTGGCCCCATTAGCAACTTAATTGCTGACCCGTCCTGTAGTTCTCTCTGATATTTGACATATCACATCCTTACAACATAACCTTATTCACCATTAGGGGTTCCTAATCCAAATTTCAAGGCATAGATAATAGTTTACTGAGTCAATTGTAATGTATTACATGGGTTTAAACACTTACCTAAAAATCAGAAAGCACCTCAAGAGTGTTCTAAGATGCGGCACTGGCCGGGTGCTGTGGTGGCTCACGCCCATAATCCCAGCAATTTGGAAGGCCAAAGCAGGCAGATCACTTGAGGCCAAGAGTTGAAGACCAGCCTAGCTCCTCTGGAGGCTGAGGCATGAGAATAGCTTGAACCTGAAAGGCAGAGGTTACAGTGAGCCGAGATTGTGCCACTGCATGCTAGCCTGGGTGACAGAGCAACACTCAGTCTCAAAAAAAAAAAAAAAAAAAAAAAAGTGAGGCACATTTCTTCTTTTCCTGCCCATTAAAACTTTCCCCTTTACTATATCTGGAGACAGCTAGGTGCACTCTCAAAGGAGCACAGGATTAAATCAAGCACATGAAATCCAAATTCTGGTCCTGTAAATACAAATGTCCAGCCACTGATTGACCAGCTATTATATGCACAAAACAATGTAAGGGGCCTCCTGCACCTTTTCCCATTTGATTCTCTAAACTCTCAATGCATGCATTACTTCTGTGTCTTACAGATAAGGCCACAAGGAGCAGTCTGCAGAGCCCATATTCAAAACCAAATCCTTCTAAAGTCAAAAACCAGGCTGACTCCCCTGGATGCTATTCTAATGTCAAATTTCAAATTATACTTTGTTTTCTACAGTGTGAGTTGTGAAAAGTAACACAAATCCACTGTGATTACCACTAGCATGTTAAAAGATAACATTTTATGGGTAAAATAAGTACTTATTGCTTTAAAATGATAGCCACAGATATCATCCAGGCATTAAGTTTATATCTACTGAGAGTGTTCATATAAAACTTAAGTATATATCTACTGATGGTGTTCATATAAAACTTGACCTTTCCATCCTTTCAGTCTTTATCTCTTCACATATACCTTTGTATTTGCTGAAAGACTACTTTGTCTATTTGTCAACTCAACTTTTGGTTCATTGGAGCTAGAATTTTCACCTGTATATTAATTTTATTTCAAAATGACTGTTTTTGTTTTCCCAGATCTTACAGTATGCTCCATTGGAGCTAGACTTCTAAATCATAGAGAAATCTATTTCTTAAATGATATCGATCTAAGATCCACCAAAATGTTAACCCTATGAGGGCAGTTCTGTGCTCTGTTCATTGTTTATCCCACACCTAGAATGGCTCTTTACATCTATGGGAGCTACTCAGCAAATACTTGTTCAATGATTGAGTGAATCTAGTCCATCTATTTTGACTATATAAATTAATTATTTGATAATTATATTTCAACTATTTAACTAACAGTTAAATATATACATTTCAACTATTTACATGTTTGAACTATTCACAGGAAAATGCTATGACCAATTTCTTTTCTTGTAGCCTTTCTTTTCAGGAGACTAAAACTTCAATGCATACAATGCTAATTTGTTGTCAGCCTCATGACATCTTAAATAAAGAAAACCCTCTTTATCCTGGGGTTGTTTGGATGAACTTAGTGGAATGCTCAAAAACTAAAGGTGAACCAAAAAGAAGGAAGTCAATATAGTTCAGGAAGCTCCCTCCTCCTGTTGGCCTTATTTCGATTCTTCTAGGGCTATTTACACATAGCCAAATACCCCAGAATTGAAAATTAAAGCCTTTGGAATGTCTGGCGGAAAGAATATATTCTAGAAGTAAAACCTCAGACTTAGATTCTTTTGACTGTTTGGCATCATTATTTTGAATTTGCAATGTGAATGAGAAACAAACAAATGAAAAAGATAAAGAAAAAGTAAAAGAAAACCCTCAATTTCAAAGTTGCACATATTTGTCATTATTTAAAGAGTACATGTTAAAGGCCTAAATATTTTAAATAAACATTTTCTACCACAAAAGATAGCATTTTATCATAAAATTGGCATTTTTTAGACCATTGAACTTAATTTGAATGGACTAAACTTTGTCTCTTGGCAACCAGAATCCACACAAATTGGTAGGCACTTTCTCTGGAAAAAGATCATGCTTCTCAACATTTATGAACTCCTAGCTAAAGGCTGGCTTTACTACTGAAAACATCACAAAGTTAAGTCACCAGTATAGACAGGAAGGATTTTAAGTTTCTATTTTCTCTTGTTTGTGTGTGTGTTCAATTAATTTTAAAGAAATAACAGTGAGATTCAGATTTCTTTCTTTTTTTTTAACTTATTTATTATTATTATGCTTTAAGTTTTAGGGTACATGTGCACAATGTGCAGGTTAGTTACATATGTATACATGTGCCATGCTGGTGCACTGCACCCACTAACTCGTCATCTAGCATTAGGTATATCTCCCAATGCTATCCCTCCCCCCTCCCCCCACCCCACAACAGTCCACAGAGTGTGACGTTCCCCTTCCTGTGTCCATGTGTTCTCATTGTTCAATTCCCACCTATGAGTGAGAATATGCAGTGTTTGGTGTTTTGTTCTTGAGATACTTTACTGAGAATGATGATTTCCACTTTCATCCATGTCCCTATAAAGGACATGAACTCATCATTTTTTATGGCTGCATAGTATTCCATGGTGTATATGTGCCACATTTTCTTAATCCAGTCTATCATTGTTGGACATTTGGGTTGGTTCCAAGTCTTTGCTATTGTGAATAATGCCGCAATAAACATACGTGTGCATGTGTCTTTATAGCAGCATGATTTATAGTCCTTTGGGTATATACCCAGTAATGGGATGGCTGATTCAGATTTCTTAAAAATATTTTTAAGGACATTATTAACAGCTCAAATAAAGCCATTAATACATGCACATTATGATGATCAAGTGATCCTGGTTAAAATTGAGGGAAAGGTACACTTTAAAAATATGATTTAAAAAGCTCCCCCAATCACTTAACTTCAGAAGCAGGGCCCAGTAGCCCACCCACTCCTCGGTTTTTAACATAGAAATTAAGGTGGTAGCTTCGGCAGGTGTTATTACCAGGGGGCTCATGAGTAGACCCTAAAAAGTTTGTGAACCCTCTTAGGATTATGTGCAGCATTTCACATGGATGGGCACATATGCATTTCCCTGGGGTAACAGGCATCTGATTCTCAAAGGAGACATCAACAAAATTGATGGGAAGTTTTGGTGTAGGGAAAAGTACGTAAGACCAACATTTAGGAATTCTGGGTTTTAATTGTGATAAGGTGCTTACCAGTTATATAATTGTAGGTGAATCATTTCTCTGGGCCCCAGTTACTTCATCTGTGGTTACTGTGGGCCCCAGTTACTTCATTGTGGTTCCACACTTGTGGGCTGCAATAACTGCAACTCCAAAGAGTAGTTGTGGGTCCGTGAATCCATAAGTGCACCAAGCTTCATCTATGGATTGACAATCGTGTGTGTGTGTGTGTGTGTGTGTGTGTGTGTGTATGTATATATACTATTAATTCATAATGAGTGGTGATGTCACTGTGATTTACAAGAACACAAAAGCATTTTAAAATATCCTTAAATTTATTGTAGTTTTTGGTCACTACATGTTTTCTGAATCAATCGCTGATAAAATGACAATTATAAGTTTTGCCAAAACACATTGGAAGGACTAGTTCAAACAATTCTAAGCTGTGTCCAGCTCAATAAGTGTAATGTTTAGATATTTTATTAAATTTTCCAAAGGTGGGTCTGTGATTTTATGTTTTAATTTATAAGTTTCTGTGTAACATATACCAACATATTTTTAAAATGTACACTGTTTGTTATCAGTGCAGTAAATGGATAGTAAGAAACATGGATGAAATTTTTTTCCCTTATTGGTTTTTAGGGAGGTCTGTACCTATGTGTGTGTGTATATATATATGTGTATATATATATATATATATATATATATATATACACACACACACAAACACACACACACATATACTCGAGTTTATTTCTTTGGTACTTTGGCTGTTGAATATAAGATTTAGTTTTAGACAAATTTAAGTTCATAACTTTGCTCTTTCTCTCATCAAAAAAGTGGTCAAGTAAATAGACATACCTAAATTCAAATTAATCATGTGAAATTGGAATAATAATGACCAAATCATGGTACTATTGTTGCTCAAAAATTAGAGCCTACAGTCTACCTCTGATAGGTCCTTGGTTCTGGCTTATTGGTCAGCCTGCACTCCCATGGATAGGTGTACCCAACTAAGACTAAAGAAAGTTCTTCAATTATCATTTAAAGAAAATTATTTATTAAACTATTAAACTAGTTAAATATTAATAAGCCCAATAATAAAAATATGCTTTGTAAAGCAAGATTTAGACAATTAACAACATACAATTTACTTTTCCTCCTCATTATTAAACATGAATGAAATACATAAATTAAAATACATTTAATATGTTTAATTGGGAAATTTAGTTTTTCATATTTAAACTCTCCCATGTATATCCAAAAGCAAGATAAAAACTCTAAGGCAATTCTAATTTATCATGAAAAGCTTTTGTTCAATCTAATGGCCTATTTAATACTAACGAAAAGTCCAGCAACAGAATTTGGGTTTCTTAATGTTCCTTTACATGACTAAGCATCTTGTGTTATTATTCAAAGGTATTTTATTATCTTGTGATCTTAAGTTTATGTTTGTCAATGAGACCCACAAATTCTTCATTTTTAAAATAGGTAACAATATGAAATTAAATGCATTTATTACTTATTAGTGAAGCTCTATAAGTGGCTTCTAATTACATATGAATAGTTTGGTCAAGAGGGGCCTCAAAAAAATGAGAACAAGTTTTCCCAGTTCATCTGGACTGAATCATTATATGCATAAGTGATACATGTTTTATTCTCAAACACTTGGGTTTTGTTTAAGCACACCAAGGATCCTAGTTTGGCTGTTTCCCAAGTTTGCTTTAAAGTAAGATTATTGGATCAGACTGGTGTTTCAAAGAAATAAATCAAAATGTACACAGTCAAATTTGTTAGGCAGAAAAAAACTGTCATCTCTCCAAACGTTTTTTGGTGTATGTGTTTCTCAAGCTCAAAGAAAATAAGACATGCCAAAAAAGGAGCATCTGTCTTAATGTAAGTAAAGAAAAGTGATAAAAAATAATTTGTGCTGGGTGCAGTGACCTGTAATACCAATGACTTGGGAGGCAGAAGAGAAAGGATTGCTTGAGGACAGGAGATTGAGACCAACCTGAGCAGCATAGTGAGACCGAGTGTTCACCAAAATTAAAAAAAAAAACAACTTAGTTTGGCATAGTGAAGAATGCCTGTAGTCCCAGCTACTCAGGAGGCTGAGGCAGGACAATTGCTTGAGCTCAGGAGCTGGGGGCTGCAATGAGCTGTGTTTGTACCACTGTATTCCAGCCTGGGCAACAGAGGTAACATCCCATCTCTAATAAATACATAAATAAGTAAGTAAATTATCTGATGCATTATTCAAGGAAAAAAGGAAAGCAATTTTTATCATGTGGCCCTCAAATACAACTTTACCTCATATTGCCAACTTCTTTGTTTTTTTGAGATGAAGTTTTGCTCTTGTTGCCTAGGCTGGAGTGCAATGGTGAGATCTCAGCTCACTGCCACCTCTGCCTCCTGGGTTCAAGCAATTCTCCTGCCTCAGCTTCCTGAGTAGCTGGGATTACAGGCATCCACCACCACACCCAGCTAATTTTTTGTATTTTTAGTAGAGATGGGGTTTCACTATGTTGGCCAGGCTAGTCTCAAATTCCTGACCTCAGGCAATCCACCCACCTTGGCCTCCTACAGTGCTGGGATTACAGGCATGAGTCACCACACTCGGCCTCATATTGCCAACTCCTTATTGGTAGAGAACAAAAGTAAATAGATATATGAACCATTTCAATTCTAGATGAAGGGAAGTGTAGTAGGTTTTTCTTTAAAAAAAATGGGAGATTGTAGTTGCTGATTTTATTATTTCTAGAAGTGGAAAGTATATAAAGCATGCTTTATACAATTATATTTTATATACAGGTATATAAAAATGGAGGACATTCTTTTAATGAGAGTTTTTTTAAATGCTATTATATGTGCTATAGATAAATACATGACTATTTTCAAATGAAAAGCTTAAAACTTCTCCTGAAAATAATTCAGTGTCATTTTTAGTGATTCTCCAATGAGTTTCAAATACTATATGCTATCTGAAAAGCATTACAAATAAAACACTTTATCTTACTCATTCAACAAATATTTTATGTACTTTGCCAGTCACTGTAATATTGAGTTCTGATTATGCTACACAATTGAGTAAAATATATACCACTTAAAGGAATACGCATAAAAATCAGAGAAATGACTTTATTAACACCTAACCATGCAAAATTAAAATGAACACAAAGATAGAGAAAGCATATTGAAAGAACCAAAGTAAAAAAAAAAATCATCCTAATTAGAGAGATTAAGGAAGGTGCAAACAGACACTAGCCTTTGATCTGGGTCCCATTGATAAGTACAATGTAAACAGGCAAAGAAGAAACCAATAGCAGGGCTGGAAAACCATGTTGGGGAACCAGCATGAGCAAAGACAGAGACTTGTGAATTTCTAGCCCCACACAGGGCTCTAAAAGAGATAAAATGCAGTTGTTGTTGTTTTTCCTTTGTACCGGCTCTATATCATAAACTGAGAATTATTTTATTGTGGATGATGTCACATCTCACCTTATTTCTTATTTATATTGCCATTTGTTATTTCTGTATATGAAGAAAGTGGGCTGAAATATTTCTGAAGCTTTTTCATGGTTCACCTTTGAACTAAAATGATAGTATTATTTATATCTTCCCTACTGTCTCTGATATATAAACACATTGTCTATGTCATGAAAACACACTGCATGGTTCATCAATTAAGATATCCTAATATTTGATCTCATCTATTAGGAGAAAGAGTAGCAATTGAGTGCATCCATAAATAAAATAAACCTGACTGGTTTCAAGACTGACCAGTCTCATCAAAGACTGAAACACATAAAACCAGAGTCAGCAAGGATGTAGGGAAGGAAGCCTCACAAAGTTTTTTTGGGCGTATAGACTGGCATGGGATTACTGAGTTTACAGTTCAACAATCCATTTCAAAAACCTCCCTGTTTTCTATTTTTTATCTTTTGATACAACAGCTAAATAATGAAATTTCAAAGGAACATGTAAATGTTTTGGTTTGGGTATTATACTTCTGACAATTTATCCTGACATAATAAATTTGGATGCACAAATTAAAAAGAATCTTATGTTAGTATATATAAACACGAATATTTGGAAATTACATAAATGCTTAACAATAGTTTATTGGCTAAATAAGTTATAGTATAATCATATAATAACACACTATGCAGCTATCAAAACTTACAATGTATATGCACATAGTTAGCTAGTGATATGGAAATTTTCATAACATGTGTAAGTGATGCTTAGCATAGTTCCTCATATATAGTGAGCACTTAATCCAGTTTAGTTATTATATCTGCTATTGTGTCTGTTATTAATAAGTTGTTATATAAATATATAAAAAATAAGCAGGTTTTATATCTGTAAATACAGAATGGTCATAGAGAGATAAATAGCTATATATGTAACAACTTATTAAGAGTTGTTATATTTAGGACATGATATTTTGGTAATTTAAAAATCATTTTTTTATGAATAAGAAGGGGTTCTGTAGACATTTTCCAAGGTTACCAATATTTCTATATCACATTGGCTCACTTCAAATTAAAATTCACTCTAGACAAAACAGTGTAACATGGAAGCTTCAGTTCCCTGTTGATTCATTAAATTAAGTCTCTAATGCCTGATGTTGCCAAAATGCCAGGTAGGATTTCATTAAAGACCGCCTAAACTGTAAACATTTTATTTGAAATTAGTTATTTTCTTTCCTTGACCCTCATATCTCTAAATCATGTGTATGACCTTTTAACAAATCAATTTTATTTAGAAAACACACTATCTGAGATTCTTTTAAATCATCTCAGAGACAAGTCTTCCAAATGGGCAATTCAGAAAGGTCACTCATAAGTAATTAACATTTAAACTTTATATTACTTTCTATCTTTTAATAAACTCCAAAAAATTGAGAGGTTTTCAGAAAATACCTCAGGTCTGCAATTCAAATATTTGGGGCATTTGTTTTTTTTTTTTTTTTGTCTGTTTGTTTTTTTGCTAAGCATATGTTTGATTTGCCAGTGGAACAGAATTGTGTTATCCTTCTCCTCAAGTAACATCTAACTAAGTGCAGGGTTCATAATTAAAAAATAATAATAACAGCAATGAAGGTGTAAGTGAAAGTACATAAGCTGGAGTTCCTCTATTGGTGAAAGGTCTTTGCTACATCAGCTGGGACTCTTCTGACTTATTGTTCATTGCTAAACTTCAAACTGATGTATTGAGACCAACTTAAATCAATCTCAACTGCTCATATATTCTATCTTATCTCGCAAAATCTATGAATGTGCTACTCTTTGGACAGATTTCTTCAATTTTTAACAGTTTAAATACTTTCAGTAGTGTTCTCAATTTATCACTCCATGTCACATATTCAATTTAGTCTTACTTGTAAGACTGATTTCGTTTGAGTCGTAAATCAATCTAACACCACACAATTGCATAAGTCAACTTTTACTATCTTAATTCTATCCATTACTTACTGCTGCACTAGATTCAAATCAATGAAACCAAGAAATCACACATGTTTGAGAATGTTACTTAATTCATTCATTTGCTTACACATAGGCTACCTAAATCACTCCAAGGGGTAAAAATAAAGTATCTTTTAAAATATTCTGCAGATAATAAAATTACTCCTTTCTTCAGTAAAGAGCTTGGAACATCTCTTACATATGTTTGATACTGAAGGAAATATAAAAGTGAACCAGACCTGGGCCTATTAAAATTAAAACATACCCTAAGAAACTAGCAAAAAGAAAAGGACTTTTAAGGACAGATAATAAGATCTGTCTTTATCTTGCTGATAATTTTCTTTCTTTTTAAAAGGGATTCGACATCATAAAAGTAAAAAAAAAAAAAAGCAAACACAAAATCTTCATTTCACACTGCCACACAACTCACTTCTCTAATTTTTACTATTTTAATAATGTCACAATCATCAAAACAATTACTAGAGGCTTTCTTCTTGATTCCTGTATTGGTCTTTTAATACAGAAAGATTTTCAAGCTGTGATCTCTATTTTTTGATAATAGAGTTCACAATGAGCTCTAAGAATGTGTCAAACTGTCAATTGATTTCAAAGATAACCAAACAAGGTTAATAACTCTTATCTTCCGGATGATAACCTAATAACTAAGTATTGCACATCTTTAGTGCCCAAAGCTGCTCTATTTGTCATGTTATTTTTCAGGAAAATAAAAATGGCTATTCAAAATTTACATGATGCATTTGCACCAGGTGAGGGTTAAATCATACCAGGACCCAATGCTGAAATAAAAAATTTGAATAATTTAAGTGAAAAGAGACTCAAGTCATCACATAACATGGTGAGGTAGAAACATGATGAATGCAAAAGTATATCCAGTACTACATTCAGTTGTACATTGTGATTTAATTTCAGAAAGATAACATCCTCAATCACATTAACTTAATGATTTTATTTGAATTTTATTTTATTTTAATTGAATTCAAACCTTATTTGAAAATTTGCTCTGGTCTTATAATTGAATATACATTATAAATATTAGTGTCTAATTCATAATGTAATGGTTTTATATTTTAAATATTATTATAATAAAAATGCATAAGTTAGTGGCAGGATTTCAGGCAAATGTTTTTCTTTTAAAAGGAGTTGAAAATTAAGTCTGAAAAACACCGGACTATAGAAACAGGCCGCCAATAGACAATAAGGTTTGCCAAATTCTATGATCTAAAGCTTTCGTGAAGGAACAGGAAAGGGCAAATTAATACCTGTCAATTGCCTACTGTGGGCCTATTATGTCCCAAGCACTGTGCTAGGTACTGTTGTGATTAGCAATTTCATTTAATTCTCACATGAACACTGTAAATCTGCTATCAAACTGTTAATATCCCCATACCACGGGAGAAAAATTAGGACATATAAGGATTAGGTGACTTCGCCAAGCTTTCAACTTCATTAACAACAGAGCTGAGATTTTTAGACCCTGATTTTAGTTTTTTCCACAACCCCATGTTCTCTTCCAAAGCAATTGTGTTGGCTGTCAATTTTCAGGTTAGAAAGTGACAAAAATAAAAGGAATGTATAAGGTGACAAGAATGTTTAGAATAGTGAAGAAAGATCACATAGATGAAGACAAAAAAAATAGTGTGTGTATGTGTGTGTGGGTATAATTTATATATATATAAAAATAATCACTCTTCCAATTACTGACTTCCTATTTTGCATATAAAGAAATGAGGTTGAGCAAGTTACATTGCTCAAAAGGGGCAGAGAAGGAATGATCAATCTTGCTTGCTTAGGTCCAAAGGTAGTGCCCTAGTTAATATGAGCAACTGTGATTCTAAATAGAAATTTCTTTAGGAAAATCCATGAGCAAGGTGTGAACTTCCCCCATTAGGAAGAGTGTGATGGTCAAAAGTCCCTCACTACAACAAAAGGCAGCTTGGCACAGGATGAGATTCATGTTCCAGCCTCACTTCTTCAACGGATGAATGAAAAGGGAAATACTCTTTTTGAAGACCTTCAAAGGAATACATATTTTACAGGATGGATATCCTTCATATATAAACCACACATTTTAGGTTGTTGATATATTATTTCCCGTTAATTATATTTTTTGTTAAAAGATTTTTAAAAAGATATGGTCAAACATTTCTGAAAAGAGAATATTGTCTCATTAGTATAGAATTTATTTGGAGTAAGACTAATTAAAAATTAAACTAAATACAATCCCAACTAATCCTAGTCCCTTTGACAACATTTAGATGACATAAAGAATAAATCTATTTTAATGCTTTTGTCACATATTATTCTACAAAGTAAATCCCACAGTTCATTTTTCTAATTATTAATAGAGAGCCAAGAGGAGATGCTGATGATTAATGGAGTCAGGTACAAGACTACAGGCAGGTGTGAAAAGTGTGTCAGAAAGACTCGCGCTCAGATCTTGTCTCAGCCACCGGCAGCTATGTGACTTGATCAAGATATTTAAATTCCATAAGATTTAGGTTGCTAATCTGACTAGCATCTTCCTTGCAGGATGGTTGTAAGAGATTTAAAATAACAACATAAATATTTAAACAAAGGCCTAGAATTGGCAAGAAGTCAATGTATGGTGAGTATTATTATGAGCCAGATGACCATATTGTTTTAAGCCTAAGTGAAAACTTAACAAATAAAAATATTTATTAAAGGAAAAAAGAGGCTTGACTATTAGGCCAATAGCAGTAAGATTTATCTGGGTCATCAAGCTTTTTCTCGTTATAATGTCTCATACTTTCTTCTGTTTACTAGTATGTTTACTACTATGTGAAATAAAGAAAAGCTGTGAAAACCTGGAAAACAATGTGAAATAAAGTATCTTTTAACATAAAGCAAGGAAAGCTGATATAACTAAGCAAGACACATGGTAAGAACAAATACTTGATATGAAGGATGGAAATATGAATTGGATAAAAAGCTAAGTTTAAAATACCTACCTGTAATATTTTTAAACTGATAACCTTAAACAGTCATTATGAATGTTAATAAAAATATCATTAACCCATTTATTCATAAACAAACACCAAGATATAAGGGCACTGAAAAAGCCCAATCACTTTACCCTTTCAGCTAGTTTTGTTTGGACCAATTGAAATATTAAAATTGAACAGCCCAACATTGAGAAAGGAGCAAAGCCTGGACATAGTTTATGAAATAGTAATCACTTTGAATGCTAATGGTATTTTAGGTTTAGCTGTTTTAGGTTTTGAAGTATAGGAAGTGGAGGATGGAAAGATTAGAAGCTGGGAGATTCCTAAAGAAAGAGAAGTTCCAATACTGGCTATGGTATAATTTACAATTTATTATAGAACAAATAAGTAGCATTGTTGAAAGTAATTTAGAAAAACTCACTAAAACTCAAAGTGATCTATAACATGTTCATTTGAGTCTGGAATCTTTAAGAAAGGTGAGTATTGAGCTTAATTTGAGCTCAGAGGGACCAACTGGGTTTGACCTTAATATGTGGAAATGTTCTCATCATTTCTTGGATAAAACATGCTACCACATATATTGGCGTTTATGGTACTTAAAATCAAATAAATAGTAAATGACATTAGTAATGATATTCTCTGTATAGAGTACAAAAACCTTGTAGTTTGAGAAGTTGATAAAGTAATACAGTATTTATCTTTGCTTTACTTGTCTTCTTTCAACATTTATAATGACTTTGAAGTCCGACAGATTTCTCATTTTCTAAACAATGACAACACAGCCTTCATTCTTTCTGCTAACAATTTGCATAGATTCATGTATCGGTAGTATTATAACATATGAGCCAAATGAGAACAATTATAGTAAAGTTTCTCTTATCCAGCATTCACATGGCTGGATATTTACACAAAATACAGTCTTTTAACTAGAAAGAAACAAAATGTTTCCAAACAAATTCTGTAACACAAATTTGTTGGACTCTACATGTCTTTTTCAAGAGAGCCCACCAGGCCCTCAAATACAGTAGAGGATCTTTTATTTTATAGACAAATTTTAAAGCAAATTCAGTCTTCCAGTTTCCAAGCTGACTGCAGAATAGAAGCAGAAAATTAGAAGAGGTGTTTGTTGTATTCACATACTAATACCTGTGAGCAAAGCCAGTGGATATGTGGGCAAACAGGGGAAGTAATGCATGAAATTGTATCTCACACAATCACTGTCATTTTCTAAAGAGGCAAACAGTTGTAATGATTCAATAACTTTAGATAGCACAGTTGAATTAAAATAAAATGTGATTACAAATATTTGTAATAAGCATGGTGCCTAGAGTTGAAAATAATGTATTATATACTTGAAAATTGCTATAAGATTAGATCTTAAATATTCTCATGACCAACAAGGAAAATGATTATGTGAGGTGATGGATATGTCAATTAACTTGATTTATTCATTTCACAATGTGTATATATATCATCAATATATCAAAACATCATGTTATACACTAAATACATAAAATTTTATTTGTCAGTTGTATGTCAATAAAGCTGGGAGGAACCAAATATTTATAATGAGGAGTGTGCTGGATAAGAAGCTCTTAGCCTTATCACATTTTACTCCTCCTAGGAAGAGAAGAAAGTATTTAGTATGACTTTGATTTTTGTGTTTTAAAGCAATACATTGTTGTTTTAAATGGGAGAGACATCTTTTATATTTTTCATACAGGAAGGACTATATATCCATTATTTAGAAAATTTACTTAAGAGACAGAGCCTGATATTCAACAAGAAAAAGAAAAAGATAATTATTGGGTCTGTATTTAGTGTTAAACATTGTACTAATTCTTTTTATATACTTTCTAATTTAATTTGCACAATATTTTTATGAGGTATTACTTCATTTTTTTTTAAAGAAGAAGGTACACCCCAGAGAAGTCAAGTAATTTGTATAAAGTTACATATTCAGCAAGTAGTAGAACCAAATCCAGTCATTCTCATTCACTGGGTCCTCTGCACGAACACTGTTTATCTACTCACTGTCTTCTTATCTCACCTCCACATAACAGGGTTCAAGTAAAAGTAGGTCAATCATTTGAATGTCTTTTTCTAATGAATATTAAAATTGGATTATGTTTTTACATCTATATATCAGCACCAAATTTAGAAAAGCTTACATATATTTTTGATTTCCTAAGTTATATAAGGTCTGCATCTTTCAAGATGGTATCAAACAAACTGTCTCCATTAACATGTTCCAGGATGGATTCTAGTCCATATTCTCTTTTCTCTCCATAACTGTGAATTTGTACTGTTTTCTGCACTACTGATATTTGCCTAAAATGTTATTGATTGCAGTATATTTTAAATTCACAATTGCTCTATTTTTTATCTTCTGCAATAATTTTCCTTTTTCTTTGCATATTCTATATTTTTAGTTTATGACTAATTCATCTGTGGATGACTCAAGAATTCTGTTTTATTCTGGCACATCTGAAATAATTTCTCTTCTCGTGAGATCACCAAATATATATTCAAATTTCATTCTCTAAATGTCACCACTGAAGGCCTGAATTGTTTACTCAATTTTGTTTTGTTTTTAACTACCAGAACTTTGGTACCCGGTGTGCTTACTTTAAAATAATACTTTTATAATGCAAAATAATTTTTAATCAAGTAATACAAGGGTGCCCACATTAATCGTATTTTCATGAAACCCAAACATACCAGATGCACCAACATTATCCTATCATGGCTCCTGAAGATAACAGTAGAGAAAAATAGGCCAAATGATACCAGGACAATTGAAGCAAATAACTTTTAAAAGTTGTAATGTGTGTATTTTAGCTGCATATGTGGGCAACAAAGGAAGAAATCATGATCATTTTTCTTTAGTAATTCTCACTTGGCCTTTTAATGATATTTACTGGATAACTCCATGTACAGCATCATCCTAAACCAAGTACTCACATTTTAAAAACAGATAAGCAAACACAAAACTAGATTAGAATAATTATTCTAATATGATTAGAATAATAATATTCTAATACGTATGTGTGCATGTGTTTGGTGAAGCAATATGAGCACACCTGACATTTAGTACATAACGAATAAACAAATGTTGAGAAATAGAAAAGGGAAAGAAGTACCTGATGTCTAAAAAAAACTTCTATTAAGAAGTAGTGGCTTCCAAGTTGAAAAAATAAGTCAGAGGAGCATTGCAAACAATGGCTAAAAGTACAGAAGTGAGAAGTAGCAGACCATGTGCAAATAACTGTACATAGGCTGGGGTGGCAGTAGTTGAAACATCAAAGTATATAACATGAAGAGTGAAGAATTCAGTAATAAAAGGGATCAGATTGTAGAATGTCTTTTATATTATGTGTTATCTTGTTCAAATATCATTGAATGAAGCTTACTGATTTCTCTCACACCTTAGTGGCCTAGTTTTAAACTTCAGGGTTCTTAACACAAAATTAAATACGCCTGCCCAAATGAATCAGATTCAGTCTTCTATTAGTGCCCAGGCCTTAGGTGATATATTCCATAACTCTGAAGAAGAAACCAATTTTAATTTTCTTTGTGTTCTAGCATCTATTTGCAACATTATTTAAGTGGCCCATTTTTTTCCTGATTTGAAATCATCTCACATAGTGTGATCTCATCCCAGGTTCATGTTTTTTTGTTTTGTTTTGTTTTTTTTTTTTTTGGAAGACCTTTTAAAAGCAATTCAGCCTCCAGGGACAATTTTTTTTTCTTTTCTTTTTTTTTTTTGTCATTTGCTTGGGGAAAAGAAGACTTTTTAATGGGAATGGTGATGGGAGAAAGAGCTCCCATTATACAGTTTTATCTTTTGAACAATAATGTCTTACTACTCAAAATTAATATAAAAAATAAAACTGAAATTTAATAAAAATAAATACAGATAATCCTAATATGATGCAAAATAGTAACATATGGAAACTTTAATGGAATGTTAAATTCCATAAACATATGGAAAAATTAATTCAAGTAACTTTGAAATACATCATGTTGACTATAAACCTATGGGAAGTATAGCATAAAAATAAAAACAAAAAATATTGAACTTTGTTTAGTTGATTTCCCGATAATAGTCTTGGTGATGCAATTCTGAAACTACTCTGAGTATATTGAAAAAAAGTGACTAAACATACATATTTTGATAAATAACAATATTCACTATAGAAACAGAGAAATACAAATATCAAATGGAAGAAGATGAGAAACAAAATCTTGTAATGCTGAATTTCATTTGAGGTAATCAGTATGAACACACTTGCATGTGCACTCATATGTGACAATGTGTTAAGTGCACACACACAGTTTTCCCCCTAACTCTATCATCAAAAGGGCCAAAGCACAATGAAACAAGCAAGAGGCAACAAACACTCCAAACTTAGGTCTTTGTTTCTAAACAAAGATCTTTTATACTAATTTTAATTAGTATAAGTCATTTTATACTAATAAGAAACAAAGTTTTTCTGAAAATTGCTTATTTCAGACTGAGGCAAATAGAAGTACAAGGTGAGCCTGAAGCATCTTAATGTGCCAGAAAATAAAGAAATGCTCAAAGTCTAATGGGGACATGTGAAAAAGACACAGAGGTCAGTTTAAAGGCGACCCCATTAACAAAATTGGAACACTCTGAATATCAAAAATAATCATGAAACTAATGGAATATAACACATTTGAACTTAAAGAAATAAGCCATATATACATAATAATGAGAGAGAGAAAGAGAAGAGGAGAAAAGAGAAGAGAAGAGGGGAGAAGAGGGGAGAAGAAAAGAGAAGAGGGGAGGGGAGGGGAGAGGAGGGGAGAGGAGGGAAGAGGAGGGGAGAGGAGGAGGAGAGGAGGAGAGGAGGAGAGGGAAGGGGAAGGGAGGGGAGGGAAAGTGGGAAAAAGCTTCCTTACAAAAAAGAATGCCAACTGTAAATGTAGAACAACTATAGTAATAATTGACTTATATGGGATCATTAAAACATTGGCCTAACAAATGTTGTTAGGGAACATAATATCAATTTTAATTTTACAAAGTTTAAAAATTCCTTTACAATGGAGATACTTGATGGTCAGAATCTTAACCAAATAATGGCACATATATACCTACTGATGCGATGATGTGGGAGACATACAACATCACCAATAGTATATTCTTGCTTGAAATGTTAGGTGTAAGTTTATCTCATTAGAAGATAGGCCTTTCTATACTATAAGATATTCAGCAGGACAACAGACCAGGGCTTTTCAAATAATTCAATGTTACACAAAAAAATTCACGTGAGGAAGACTTGCTTCATGCAGGGTGACTAGGAAGAAATAATGCAAATATATACACCTTAATTGGATTTTAGACATAAAACCAAAAACAAAACACAGAAATGCAAAGACAAAACATAAAACACAGCCATAAAGGACATATTTTAGATAACTGGGGAAATTTGTATGGGCTGTGTATAATGATAGTAAATTAATGTTGAATTATGCTGTAAGTATGCTCAGGCTGTGTCAGAAAATTTTATCATTCTGAAAATATACACATTTTAATATTTATTAATGAAATATCATGACATTCATAGCATATTTTCAAATGATTTGGCAAAAGGGAAGTGTGTGGGAAGATGTTAACAAATGGTGAGTTTGGTGAGGGATATATGAGTATATATTGTACCATTCTTTCAACTTTTCTAGTGTGATTTGTCTGTTTCAAACTAAAAACAAATAGAACAGCAGGAAATACAATTTGACCAGTCTCATTCATCCTAAATCCCAGATAAGTGCATCCATTCCTTCTTCTGGGCATGAAAATTGCAGTGGGGACTGGCTTCCTGCTTCCTGCCAACACCAGTTTCTAGTCTTATGGCCCTCAAAGGTTTTCCTAAAATTATATATTCATAAATCAAACATAAACCTCTCACCCAAGAATACTTTCAATGGTTCTATTGCCCTATGGGAAGACTTTTAAGCTTAGTAAAGCTAAGTAAAGCAAAAAAAAATGGGACACAACTGAAGTTTGAAATTACTTTGATGTTTTGAGTTGAATTGATTTTAACAATATTTTATTTGCTTTTATAGAACCTCAACAAATATGTTTCAACATCATTGTTATCTCAGATCTATCACTTTTATTTTGTTCTAATAAACTACAGGATACAAAGTAGAATCGCAGACCAAAAATTTTGGAGAACAACATCCATCAAGCAAGCAACTTCAATTGTTCTCCTAATATGGCACCATTTCTTTATTCCTTCCAATCCCCTAGGAAGCCCAAGGAGAAGTGGTCCCATATGAGTACATTATTGCTGTTGTTATTAAATAACTGCTGTTACTCTGAGGCTTAGAGAGATTAACTGATGAACTCTGCCTAACAGGGCTTCATATAGGTGTCGTTAGGAAAGAACCACTGAACTCTAAGACCAACATTATGTCTTCTGTCATGCGTTAGGCAATTCCTTTTGATGTCTATGCAGTTTTACAATTTAAAGTAGTCATTTAATCAAACATAACTTTCATTTGTGAAGACTGTATTCCAGAACATTTCTCCAGACATCTAGAAATCATCACAAAATTTATCCAAGTCTCTCTTCTATACATTAGCTTCACAATTAGCAGCAATCAGATAATCTTTTTCAGATAATCATTTTCACCATTTCTTCTACATAGAAATGCTCCCAGTTCTGAAATGTGAAAGTCTAGGTCTGACTGTAATGGCTAATTTTCTATTGTACATATCTATGGAAGCATACTGCTACTACTCACTCATAACATTCCAAAACAAAAACAAAGCTTATGGTCCTCTCCTAAAAATTCGCCTTCTTCTGAAATTTCCTTATCAGTTAATGATATACACCAAGCTCCCAAGTGGGAACTCTTGGTGCCTTGTAGGACTTTACCCTTTCCTTCCCACCAGCAACAAAAAGTAGCTTTAGTATAGGAGAAATAGCAAAAGAACAGGCGTTGATCTTAACAATATTGAATTTGCTTTTACCTCAACATATAGGTTTCAATATCATTCATATATCCAGATTTCTCTCTTTTTGTTCTAATAAACTACAGTATGCAATGTAGAGGTCCATATATAGGGGTCTTGGCATCCATAGCTACAAATTCACATTTTCACTACATGTTCAACCAACTGAGCACAGACCCTTAATTGTTTTGGCCTTCATTTTTGTTTCTCTTTTCTGAAATGGAGATGTCTAGCCTTACCTCAAGAAGTTGTGAATAGTAAACATGAATAATCAATGTCAAATGCTTGGCACTTTAATAGTGTTTGGCAGAAAATAGATGATCCTAAAGTTGTGTTGCCTAAAGCGAGATGCATTTGAGCTGCATCTTGAAGGATAAGTTGGTTGTTGCTATGACCTCATGAAAGGACTTTATTAGGCGGGGGAAATGAGAATTTTACTCTGAAGGAATAAATGATGTAGAAGCAAACAGGCTAAACTTGAAGCCAGAAAAATAGAGAGCAGCCAGATTATAAGGAATTTCCTATGACAAACTAAGGAGTTTGGATGCTAGAGAACCAATAAATGTTCATAAGTAAGAGAGAAATATAATGGAGATTTGTGTGTGTGCATGAGTGTGTTTGGGTCACAGTGGGAGAATTAAATAGTTGTTAAATTATTCCTTTACTTTATTGAATATATTCCAAGTTTAAAACATGATATTTTGATATATATTTACATAGTAAAATGATTACTATAGCCAAGCTAATAACATATCCATCATCTCATATAGTTACCCTTTGTGTGTGTGTGGTAAAATTACCTAAAATCTACGTGCCTTTTTTTTTGCAAATTTCTGGTTTATGACTCAATTTTATTAACTATAATTCTCATGCAGTACATTAGATCTCCAGATACCTTGTTTTTTTTAAAGAAAGATAGTTGAATGTAGCTTATAAAAAATACACTGGATTACAAAGGGCTTAAAACAAAGACTGAAATTCACTAGAATGCTTAAAATTTGTCAATTAGCCAGCTATGGCAAAACCACAGCCAACAATATACTGAATCAGCAAAGCCTGGAAATATCCCCCTAGAGAACTAGAACAAGACAAGGATTCCCAGTCTCACCAATCATATTCAACATAGAATGGAGTGCTAGCCAGAGCAACAAGGCAACAGAGAAAAAAAAAAAGCATCCAAATAAGAAAATAAGAACTCAAACTATTATTCTTTGTGGATGAGATGATCCTATGTCTAGAAAACCATAAAGACTCCACCAAACGGCTCCTGGGACTGATAAATAACTTCAGTAAAGTTTCAGGATACAAAATCACTGTACAAAAATCAGCAACATTTTTACACATGAATAACATTCAAGCTGAAATCCAAATCAAGAATGCAATTTCATTTACAATAGACACACACACACACACACACACACACACGCACAATGCCTAGGAATACATCTAACCAAAGAGGTGAAAGACCTCTACAGGGACAACTACTTCAAAACACTGTTAAAAGAAATCGTAGATGACACAAAACAAATGAAAAAACATTTCATGTTCATTAATTAAAAGAATAAATATTATTAAAATGGACATACTGCTCAAGGCAATCTATAGATTCAATGTTACTCTTATCAAATTACCAATGTCATTTTTCACAGAACTAGAAAAATGTATTGTAGCATTCATATGGAACAAAAAAAGAGCCTGAATACCCAAAGCGACTCTAACCAAAAAGAACAAAGCCAGATACATCACATCTTCTGACTTCAAACTATACTATAATGCTACAGTAAACAAAGCAGCATAGTACTTGTACAAACACAGGGAGATAGACCAACGGAACAGAATAGAGAACTCAGAAATAAAGCTGCACACCTACAGCCATCTAATCTTCAACAAAATTGACAAAAATAAGCAATCAGGTAAGGACTCTCTATTCAATCAGTGTTGCTGGAGCAGCTGGCTAGCCATTTGCAAAAGAATGAAACTGGACTCCTACCTTTTACCATATTCAAAAATTAACCAAGATGGTTTAAAGATTTAAATGTAAGACCTCAAACTATAAGGATCCTAGAAAAAAGCCTAGAACACACCATTCTGGAGATCAAACTTGGGAAAGAATTTATGACTAAGTCCTTAAAAACAATTGCAACAAAAACAAAAATTGACAAGTCAGACCTAGTTAAACAAGAGAGCTTCTGCACAACAAAAGAAATGATCAACCAAGTAAACAGACAGCCTGTCAGAATGGAAGAAAATATCTACAAACTATGCATCTGACAAAAGTCTAGTATCCAGAAGCTATAAGGAATGTAAACAGTTCAACAAGCATAAATGAATAACCCCATTAAAAAGTGAGTGAACGACATTAACAGACACTTCTAAAAAGAAAGCATACAAGAGGCCAACAAACATGAAAAAAATTATCATCGCTAATCTTCAGAGAAATGCAACTCAAAATCACAGGGAGATGTCATCTCACACCAGTTAGAATTCCTATTATTAAAAAGTCAAAAAGCAAAAGATGCTGGCAAGGTTGCAGAGAAAAGGCAATTATTATATACTGTCGGTGAGAATGGAAATTAGTTCAGCCACTGTGGAAAGCAGTTTGGTGATTTCTCAAAGAACTTTAAACAGAGCTATCATTCAACCTAGCCCTCCCATTACTAGGTATATATCCAAAACAAAACCAATCTTTCTACCCAAAAGACATATGCACTTGCATGTTCTTTGCATCACTATTCACACTAGCAAAGATATAGAATCAATCCAGGTGCCCATTAAAATTATGTTCTTTGCAGAATCATGGATGCAGCTAGATGCTATTATCCTAAGCAAATTAATGCAAGAAGAGAAAATCAAATATTGCATGTTTTCACTTACAAGTAGGAGCTAAACATTGAGTACCCATTGACATAACGATGGCAATAATAGAAACTGAGGACTACTAGAGTAGAGGTGAACGGGAGAAATAGTTGAAAAATTTTCTATGTTGTCTCTTCTGGATCTGTCCATGCAAAGCAATCAATTATTTTAGAGACCAAATTATGTTTTGTGTTTTTGACATTTTCAGAAATTCTTTCTTTTGTGGGGGTTACTTATTCAATCTGGCCTCCCTACAGGGTTCAGGGAGAAAATGAGAACAGGATGGCATTCACATTACTGACAGAATGCCAGTCAATGAAACATTATCTCCTGGAGCCATTCTCTAACTGCTTTATTATTTTTGTGCTTTAATCAGTGAGAATGTTTACTTATGGGGAAAATCTTTGCATAGGTAGACTCACTGAGGAATCTAACAAGTCTATCAGTAGAAAGATTTTTGGCTTTAAAAATGGATTGAACATATTGAATTTTTTAAACAAAGAACTAGGAAACATATTATAGACCAAACTTTTAATAATGTAAGTAAATGAGAGGTTATAATGAGAATTGTGAAAAAAAAAAGATTCCCTTTTACTGTATCACTTATTAGGCCTCACATGACTTAAATAATTTCCCCATTTTATCCTACCTCCTGCATTAATATTTTGCTGTTCTTGCATGTTAATGTTTATAGAAATTTCTATTTTGGTATGCTCATTTTTTTCTGTTGAAATATTTGCTGAGTTAACTCTGGTTACTTTAAACAACATTTCCAAAAAGCATATTTACTTGCCCGCCAATGCCTTCCACATAGGGATAAATGCAAAATCCTCACTAGGACAATAAAGTCACCCACAAGCTTCACCTCCTGACTCAAATGTTGTACTTACAAATACACATCATGGAGGTTTAGGTACCTAAAATGTGTTCTTTTTACCATTGTGTCCTTGCATTGTTAGTTTTTTTTCCCCCTATTATCCCTCTCTAATCTTTGCCTGGTGAACTCATTATTCAGACACCATCTCTGGCTTTAAGTATTATATTTGCTAACTACCCACTTATCTGTTGATATAGATTTAGTTGATTAATAAAATATAATCCATTATGCCTGGAAGAAATAATCCACTTTACTGGGTGGGGGGAGAGGGGTCACCAGGGCTTCTCTCCCCTTATTGAACAACCTTGTTCAGAGCTAAAGGAAAAGCAGTAAATATATATCTACTATGTTTAAAGTTCAAGAAGTCTTATCATCTTTCCTCATACTACTATTAATAATATAAATAATTTCCACAGTGTAAAGATGTCCCTTGGAAACAACTGTTTACTTATAAGAACAAGCTCTGGAGTCAGAAGTCGCAAATTGGATAGCGTAGCTGTTGGCTTTCAAATGTGATGAGCAGAAACAGAGCTTTCATGGAAATGCCTCAGAGGTGATTGGGAGAGTGTCAGGAAAATGGAGGCCAAAAGGATAGGTGGAGGAGAAGGGAGGGGAGCTTGGGATAACCTAACCTAATCTCAGCCAGAGAAGTCCCAATTTTATGGTTTACATATTGGCTTTCTGTATGACCGTCCTTTTCTTAAAAGAAGGAAAACAAGAAAGCTGCTTTTTTGTATGTTAATGGAAAACTACTGGTATAAACATTCTTACTGCCCATATTAGTGTTTTAAAGCATTAAGAACTTTATTCTGCAATTAATGAATCAGCTATTGGTATTCAAACCAGTTTGAGTCAGGTGCAGGTTTCTTTAATTAAGCTCCCAGTGTGGTTCACAAAAGACAGGTGGCTACAGTTTCACTGCTTTGCTCAAGGACGGCATACTGCTTTGCTCAAGGACGGCATGCTGCTTTCAGTTTCCACTGTTATCTAATGACTAGAAATAAATTTTTACCAATGATACTGAAAAATGAAATGGTCACTTTATATCCTTCTTTTACACCTTTATGAAATTCACCTAACAGAAGAAAGCATTATGTTTCCCAGTTAACTTAGGTCTAACCTGGCTAAATGCAAGGGTTCAAGTTTGAGAATTCATAAAATTCCTAGAAGTTTTATGACAGTACATGGAGATCATTCCTGTTTTCCTGTATTCTGTCCAGCTAACATGCACACACCCTTTTTATTTTCACTGTTAGAAATAAACTAATTTCCAAAAGAAAATATGAAATCAAGAAAGCTATTGCTCTCCTATTATGTGCAAATATTAGATTCCAAAGAAATAAAGTTAATTATGAAAACAATTCAAAATGCACAATAAAAGGACAAGATATGGACCTGAGAAAGTAATACAAATAAGGAAGAAGAGCAATTAAAGGCAAGTGCAAATAAAGTAATACAAGAGCAGAAATGAAGAGCAATTGTGTTCAAAAGAGGCGACAGACGAGAAACAAAAAATGGTCACTTCCTAATTTTACGTCTGGAAAGATATTACTGTGTGCCCCAACTAAACATGAAGCCCAGAATGGCTTGCTTTTTTTCCTCTTTACTGTCTAGATAGAAGGTTGATGTGCAGATACTTGATTTTCTGATTGTGCTCTGAAGCCACTCTCCTAGATGAACAAGCAGTTTCTAACCACTAAGAGTAGGATTATATAATAAAAGTACACTGCCTAAGGCATCAAACCCTGATTTTAGTCCAGGTGTTGTCCAGAGGGAGCCAACTTTGTTTCACCATGAGCTCACATTCTTCCAATTGTTTCACCTTTATTGTTGTGCTCTTCTACTTTTGTGCTCCCACAGCTCTGGATATCTTCCATTAATAGAATCCTCACCCTATACTGCACTTGCCTGTTCAGTATGTCTCTTTCATTACTGTAATTCTTATGAAGGCAATACGTTGTTCTACTTGATTCCCATTACATACCCATTGTGTGTCGTTTTGAAATACAGTAGGTATACTAAATAAATATTTGTTAAGTGAGCACATTTTACCATAAAACATACAACCATGAAATATTATCCTGGTTGAAGAAACACTTCAAGTAATTGACCAGATTAATGATTGAGACTGAGGCAGTGTTCCATGGGCAATTTATGAAGTAAGAGTTTAGTTGTTAAAATATACCAAATGTAAAAATAATAAAGCATAGACTGTTAAAGAAAGTTAAGGCAAAACGTAAGGAAATATTTGAAATATATTATTTTTAACATTATTATGAATGCATGAAAACTGTTATCTACAAAGATACTCATTGCAATATTTTTAAATAGCAAAAACTTTATTCAATACCCATACTATACAATAAGAATATAATCATTAGAAACAGTATTTTAGGAGCCAAAAATGATATATACATCAATGTAATCAATATGTAATACTTTTATTTTTTCAGATGGGGTCTTGCTCTGTTGCCCAGGCTGGAGTGCAGTGGCGCAGTCTCAGCTCACTGCAACCTCTGGCTCCCGGGCTCAAGTGATTCTCCTGCCTCAACCTCCCGAGTAGCTGGGACTACAGGCACGTGCCACCAAGCCTGGCTAATATATATATATATATTTTTTGTATTTTAGTAGAGGTGGGGTTTCACCGTGTTAGCCAGGATGGTCTCGATCTCCTGACCTCGTGATCCGCCTGCCTCAGCCTCCCAAAGTGCTGGGATTACAGGCGTGAGCCACCACGCCCAGCCGAATTTCCTTGTTATCTATTAGACACCATTAAGGGCAACTACTCTTTATTATTTACATTTTGTATCTGTGTTTAGAAAAATACCAGGAATATGTTCTATGCTGTACTGTTGATTGAAAAAAAAATAGGTAAATGAAAATATTTCTAAACAGAACCTATTAAGAGATATTTGTGAGATAAGAGTGTGTGTGTGTGTGTGTGTGTGTGTGTGTGTGTGTGTGTGTGTCATATGCACAGAGAGGGAAATAAGTCAAAAAGAGCAAGACAATACCAATGGTATTCTCTGGGAAAATTTTAGTTTTTGTTTTCACTCAGAAATACCTTCTTAAATTTTTGCACTAAAATGTTAATGATAAGAATAAAAAAAAAGAACTAGAAAATAATGTGCAAACTATTGAAAATAATACAAGTTTTTATAAAATGAGATCCTTTGACATGTGACAATTCATTATTAGAATGGCAAAAAGAAGTGCAAGACTAAGAAATTAGAAAAAATACTTCAAAAACTGTCAGGGAGTCCTCCCTGCTATTCCAAAATATTATCCTCTCCTTATTGCAAGAAAATGCTCTACTTCTGTCATTATTTGCTGTGAGAGTAGCTACCCAAAAAGCTATTTTGTAGCAAAACCAGTTTTATTGTTATCATTGAACAGAATTTTTGCCTCACATGTCTGACCCAAATTCCAGTGTGATTCTAATTCACAGGTTTGTCATTAGGATCAAGGGAGATACTACTTGTGAGAGAAATTGTAAATGTATAAATATATAAATCAAATGCAATCATACTCCAGTTTTATGAGACCATCAGTGTTGGGAAAAACTAGACTAGAAATCAGAAAATGAATTTATTTAGCAGAGAAAAATCAGTCTAAGAATTTTTACTTGACAATTTCTTTTTCTCAAATGGCAGATTAGTGTGTGTGTGTGTGCGCGCGTGTGTGTGACAGAGAGAATATGCATTAGTTTTTAAAGCAATGAATAGAGGTCTATGTATTTCATTTCTGCTATGCAGGAAAAACTGTGCTGAATTCAAACCTGAAAGAGAGTGGTTAACATATTCAGAATCAATTCCATTTCCAGAACAGTCTCTGCTTTTACAATGTTTTACTGAAGAACTATGAGGTAAGAACTAAGGTTGAAGTAAAAGAAAATTATTCTAGGGTTAAATGGAATATTGACAAATTAGATTTTGGGAGATATGAGAAGTTAAAGGGGAAGAACTTTCGCATACCGGGAAGCTCTGGGCCTCCTTGCAAGTGTGCAGGTTATATGGCCTGTCTTTCATTGAGCCTGCTTAACTCTCTGTTTTGTGTTGGACGATAAGAGCTGATGTGTCCTGTGTTTGCTTTTCCAATTTATCAGTCTCAACAATGGCTCATATTATTCCCTTGGGTTGACAGTTCAATAGAGAAAGAGCATAGTATGGTAGACACAGTGTGAGTTTTTGGTCAGAGAAATACTGTCTATTTAACAGAGAAGAAACAGTAGCAACTTGCTTATCCCCTCTGAGTCTCAGTTTTCTTTCTATAAATTGTAAACAACAACGTCTATAGTGCAAGGATGTTCTGAGGTTAAAGATATTTTAAGTACAATTGTTGGCACATATTAAGTGCCTAATAAATGTCATCATAGTTACTAGTTACTGATTCTGGCCTGGTTGTCTGTTTGCATGTGTATGTATGTGTGCAGTGTGTATTTATACCTTATTAAAGAAACTATGCATTACTTCACTTCTCAAGCATGGGTTTCATTCAGTCTATTTGCTTTTGACTGCTCCATATTGACTGTTCTGGTCACTGTTTCATTTATGATACAAAGAAGACACTTCAGGCAGAATTATCTTTCTGAAATGCAGTTCTGTTCCTGCCACTCTTCTCCATATAACTCATGTCCCAATCAACTTCTCAGGTGACAGCTCTCAGCAAAGTCTCGCTCTCTTCCATCATGTGCACATACACACAAACACACACACTCACACATCGCTATAATGCACCATGTTCTCTGCTTTTTCTTTAAGCTAACTCACACCCTGTCCCCATTTCCTGGGATACCCAGTCTCTGCCACTTTTCTGAAAATCTCCTATACATCTTTCAGGTTTCCTCACTGAAACGTTTTTATGACTTCCTGGACTCTCTAATGTGCCCATATAGCTCTCTGAACTTCCAACTGTCCCTCAGTAGCATTGGATAGATTGTAATCCCTGTTCATTGGTATGTCTCATACACTAGCCTGAAGGCTGCACAAGAGTGGGGTTTTTCTCCCTCTTCCACTGTCTCATTGCTGGTAAATTGTAGAGTAAATGGTATTGGTATGCATTCAATGAATATTGGTTGAATGTTCTGATGCAAAATTCATATCCCAAAACGTAAAGAAAAATTTCTACCATTAACTTCTCAGTACCGCCTACTACCTCTTGTAAATTCCATAGTAAGTTAAAAAGGTGAACGCAGAAAGAGAGCTTTTTTTTTAAAAATCCCCAGGAATGCTAATGTGGAAAGTCACAGGGTTTTTGGTAATGTCAGTATTTTTATTTTTCTCTCAATATGTATGTATAGAGGAAATCAAACAATGGGTATCCATTTTAAAAATAAATCAGAACAATTTATTTTCAGCCTTGGGCAATCATTTCCATTTCTTAAATGAGAAAAAAAGAGAAAATAAAACAGGAACTGTTGTCTATTTCCATCCATTATCCCGTAATTGTTTTTATCTGTAAAATATCTTCTAAAAGGAATATAGAGAAGACAGTAGGAAAAATAAAAATGTAATAGTTATTATATTTGAGTGTTTGGATAATGGAGGATTTTCCCCTCTCTTTTCTAAACTTTCTATAATGTTAAACTATCTTTAATGCAATGAATAAAATGAATAGAGAGTGAAGAAAGCAATCATGTTTCTGAATTACCTTCATTTATCCTTCTGCAAAGATAGTGAAATAAAAACCCTGATGTTCTAGATCAAATTTATTGCAGCCTATTACAGTACCTTGCAATTTGCAAGACTCGTGTTTATTGTTTATGGATTGAGGGTTATGAGGAAAGAGAAAGGATCAAGACACAAATATCAACATTCCACTTTTTAAAAATTCATGCATTCATTGTAGTGCATACACATCTACACACACTTATATGCATACACACACATCTATGCCAGTAGCTTAAAATCCCATACCATAGAATTGGGCAGATAATAAGCTCTCAGAATAAGACCTGGAGAATGACTAATTTGTTTCTTTAAATTGCAACAGCCTACTTTATCATTTTTTTTTCTTTCTTAAGACTGTATCTTCAAAGAAGCAAAAGAAGGTACATGAAGCAGAAATGTAAGCCAAATATATACACTCTGATGGCCCGTTAAAGTCACATATGCTGACCTCTTCTAAACTATAAAACCACATGAGCCTCCACCTTCATTTGTTTCCTCTGTCCTTGCCATAGGCACTACCACAGTGCTCCATGGGGCGCTGTGGCCAGTCGCTATCAGAAAAGCACATCTCCTTGGTATCCACGATATCAACATTGCCTATGTTGGATACTTAATCCTAATATCCATGCTGCTGAATCACGTAATTTATGGTGAAAAAAAATCAAAATGTCATTTAATGGAGAAAGAAAAATTGTGAAAGAATCATACAATTGAGTGCTTTATGCTGCTAAAGATATTTCAAGCAGTCATTTTCATAGGATTTTTGTAATGTAGCATCTTGTCTTACAAGGTTTTAAGAAAAGTATGTTACCTAAACGTGCATGTCTTCTGACCATTGCATGGAGAATAAGCTTCTGTAAACACCACTGAAAGAACATATTATGTTTTATGTTAACACGTTATATTTCATGTCAGTCTTTTGGTTCATAAATGGTGTAGATAAAATTACTGTTCAAAGAGTGGTTATCAACCTGCTGTTCTCCTTTCACTAAAATTAGGTTCATATTCTGGTCATTTCTTAGCAGTTTCATTCAATGTTAAGTCCATAGGTTAGCTAAAATGCTGTTTCTTCCCAGTGGAAGAGTTGGGAAAGCACAATACCAGTCATGTGGTGCCTTCTACATCAACAGTATCAAGACTGTTCCACCTAAGATGGAAATGCTGCATATCTTAAAGAAAATTAGTTAAGAATTCAAAAGCTTGTCATTGACCTCATGAGCCCTCCAAAAATAATACAGAGATACCTGACATTTTGTAGTGTTCTTCTAGAGAGAATGCTAAAAAGTGTTTTTGCTTAACATTTGTGTGCTCCCTAAGGTAAGTAAAGTGAGTGTTATTATTCTTATCACATGTTGTATAAAGAAAAACAAGACCAGAGAGAGTAAATAAAGGATAAACATTTATTTGACAGTTTAGTAATATAATCAGGTCTAACGTGAGAGCCCAGCACTGCTCAATAGAACTTTCTGCAGTGATATAAATGGTCTATAAATCTAAGCTGTCTGATACCAGTGGCTATTGAGTACTTGAAATGTGGCTAGTGCAACAGAGAAACTGAATTTTTAATTTATTTAATTTTAATTTTAATTTAAGAAACCACATGTGGCTAGTAGCCACTGTAGTGGACAGCACAGCTCTAGTCATTCCCCCTGTGTTCTGTCCTGTAATCACCTGGCTGATTTTGTTACCATTGTTGGGAAGCTTAGTCTGCTTGCTGTAATTGTTCTAACCTTAAAGCCTGGTGGTATGTATGGTACACTGGAACAGGTGCTCGGATGGGTGAATGTAGAAAGGCTTCAATGGCAAGGGCTAAGGATTAAAATTTAAAAGACTGAATGTAAAGGACTTTTAGATCTATTTATCTTTCCAAAATAATAAAATACATGGGGATACATTCCCATTTACTAAGTTCCTGAAAAATGATATGGACAATTTCTATAATGATTTATGGCCTGTCCAACACTTTCACGTGTTTTTTTTCCCCCATTGGCATTAATAGTGGTAATACAAAGCCAACAAGCAAGTAATTTTGTATTGTTTGTATACACACACAATCAAAAGCAAAGATAAGATGAGTAACTTGTTCAGTTACAGAACCAGAAGGAGTTTACTATTATCATTCTTCAAGAGTAAAAAGAGCGGGGACAATTCTTTTCAATCTGCTACATAAAATATTTCAAACAGTTCAGCTTATGTTTTAGAGTCATACATTAATCACTGATGTGTATAAACAATGACACTAAAAGATCTTATGGTGATTACTCAGGTTCAATGGTAACAGTTAATGATGATTATGTATGCCTTACTATAACCTCTTGAAAATTGGTAAATTTTGTAAACCATGCATGTTAACTCTTGATGAAGGCACATGTAATAAAACTCATGTAATTATAAAATTAACAAAAAATCTGCATTTCCACAGCATACAGAAAATAATTTGCCATATTTATTTCTCCACTCTCAACTTCTTCGTTAGCTTAAAATGCTTTTTTTTCTATCTAATTTCTTCATATTTCATCTACACTCTGATCATACCTTGTTCCTGTCCTTGTCCCAAATGTATCCTGAACTTTCTTGCTTCTTTTCCATTGTGTGTGGAGTTCTTTTCATTCAGAGTGCTCTTCCCACTTCTCCACCTACTAAACCTTAACATTTTTCAGCATCTAGATCAAATGCCTCCCACTACAGAAAGTCTTTTCTCTCATCAGAATTCATCACTCCTTGTTCAGTACTTTCTTAGCAATTCTGACCTTGATCTCATACTTTGCACAATAGATATTTATCTGAAAGTCTTGTTATTAGTTAGTAGTCTGAATGTACCATGAGTTGAAGACCATTTGAATCTCTTTAAAGTTCCTATAAGATAGGTTCTTAAATAATGCTGGTTACAAATTATTTTTTTAAAAATCCAGTTGTGAAACAGCATTTGTATTTTGTCTTGCTAACGTCAGATCAATTTCACAAAACAGCATCAGAAACTCAAACCTCTATTCAGGCATTCCTGATACTACTCACAAGTGAGAATCTGAAAGTGCAAAGCTTAGAGTAGCAGATTGGCACAGAATCCCCTCAGCTTGAAAATTTTGTCAGAATAAATAATTACCTAACACTTTGCCTTCACACTCTTTGCACGTAAAAGCTAAAGTGTTCAGAATGCAAATCCCTTAACAAAATTCCTAAGTAGAGCATCCAGAGAATAACATTAAAATCTTAGTGATATACGATATTTATCATGGTACACTGATTCTAATTAAGTGAATTATTTTGTTGCAAGTATTTTATTCACTTATTCAAGAAATATTTATTAAGCATACATCATACGCTAGGCATTCTGCTAGGCTAGAGATTGAATATAAATATTACATTGTTCCTATTCTCAAGAATTCATAGTCTCCTAGGAAAGGCACAGTATGTAGTATATTAAAAAGAAAAACTGAGCGGGCACGGTGGCTCACGTCTGTTAACCCAGCACTTTGGGCGGCCGAGGCGGGCGGATCACGAGGTCAGGAGATGGAGACCATCCTGGCTAACACGGTGAAACCCCGTCTCTACTAAAAATACAAAAAAATTAGCCGGGGGAGGTGGCGGGCTCCTGTAGTCCCAGCTCCTCGAGAAGCTGAGGCAGGAGAAAGGCGTGAACCCGGGAGGCGGAGCTTGCAGTGAGCCGAGCTAGCGCCACTGCAGTCCGGCCTGGGCGAAAGAACGAGACTCCGTCAAAAGAAAAAAAAAAAAAGAAAAAGAAAAAAAGAAAAGCGTCGGTACAATAACTTCTATTTTGTTCTCAGCTTGATCAACTAATCTGAGCCTATTTCTTCATCTGTAAAATGGAGACACTAAAATTACATACCTTATTGGGTTATTGTGAGAACTTAGGAAGCTAATGTATGCAAATACATAAAGTATTTTAGTCCATTGTTTGGAATTTAATAAATGCTCAGTAATTATCAGTAAGAATAATTGCAGTTCAAGGTGAAAAGTGCTATGAAGAAGGAAAATAGAATATACTATGCAAATGTGAAAGGATGGGACCTCATTCTGTCAAAGTAAGTTGGAGAAGCCTTCTCAGAGGAGGATTGTTGAAAGTAAGACTTGAAAGATGAGTAGGAATTTTCCAGGTGACATCACTAAGAAAGGAATGGATGTTTCCGATTAAAAACAAATCCTCAGAAGAATATATTCAAGAGAATTGTAAGCAGCACAGTATGGCTAAAGCAGAAGGCGGATGGAGAAGAGACTAAAGAACATGACAAAGAGATCTCATAAACATTCAGAGGAGGAGGGCTGTGGATGTATTTCCATTTTACCAAAAGCAGTGTGGGATGAAATACACTTTAGAGTGCTGAAGCATTAAATGAGAAAACAAGCTATAAGTTTATCTCAACAGTTCCAGGACATAGATGACAAGATCTTGAACTTAGTTGTAAACAACAGGGATGAAGATAAGAAAAAAAATGAGGATGTCTTAAAATGGTGTAATGATTGGTAATGGAGATTGAGACATCACTATAAAATCACAGAAGAAAGTATGTTCCTGTTTTTTCACCAACTTGCTGTAACGAAAATGGACATATAAATATATTTCATTTATTGCTGGAAAACTAACGGGATCATATCAGAAAGAATGAAGATAATTTCTCTCTATTAGATTGAAGAATATTGCAGGATTAGTTCATGCTTTAAAATGATCTTCCCCCATGGAGACAATATTTTTTATTTTTACTTTAAATAATCTTCATTAATATTTCATGCATTTTAAAATTTAAATAGAGTTTACAAAAAAATATCCAAATTTATCCCACAAAAGCAGAAAGGGAAGATTAGAAATCTCAAACTGTGCATAGTGTTCTAATTTTTAAATTCTATAATTGTGTTTTATCCTATCTCAAATTGTAGAATCTTTTTAAAAACTATTTTTAATTTTAGAAATTTATATTTTTTATACTACCAAAGATTGAAGTTGACAAGGTATAGAATTTTTCAACATCTAAAATTATCAAAATAATTAACTTCCAGGACAACACTTTAACTCAACTACTTCCCCAACCTATGCCCTCCAGCCACCAGAAAGAAGCCTTCAGGAGTCCCTACAGCACCCACACAGGTCCTCTACAGTTTTCCCCCTCCCTTCCTGATGCTGTGAAAACCACAGAATAAATGTTTATCACTTTCAAAAATATTATATATATATAATGTAAATGAATTTTTCTTTTTACTGCACATAATATAGTACCCTGTTCACCTCTCAGATAAATAAATCATAATTATCATTTTCTGCTTTTAAATACCCTGAAAATATAATATAAATATTACACAAAATCAATTTTTTGAAACATAAAAAAATTAAAAGAATTACAAAAACAACTTGTTCAATAAATTTTGTCTTATAAAATATCTGCCAAAGAAAATATTCTAAAGAGAATAAAAATGATTGTTCCTCTAAGGCTTAGGCTTAAATATTCACACATTTCAATATAAAATATAACTAAAGACATCTTTCATTTAGCATAATTTGTTCTGATACCTATTAGATAAATCAGTATTTGTAGTGAAGGTATTTTAAGATAAACCATTATAGTTTACAATAGCAATTCTCAAACTTTCTAAGTTTCATAACACCTTTGCACTGCTAAGAAGTATTGAATGCTCCCAATGACTTTTGTTTATGTGGGTAATATCCACTGGTATTTACTATATTAAAAACTAAAACACAAATTTAAATATTCATTGATCTTAAATAACCTATTACATGTTAACACAAATATTTCTATTGAAAATTTTATATTTCCATAGAAAATATAGAAATATTTTTAGTGTGAAGGGTGGCATTTTTCGTTTGAAGGGTGGCATTTTTTCTTACTTTGTTTTTAAAAAGTTTGGAAAGTGTCAGACTTCATAGAAGATAGTTGGATTTTTGTATCTATCGCATTTAAAATGCTGTGATACCATGTGTCAGAAAGGCTACAGAAAATTCTATCATATATTCATAAGAGAATGAGAAATAGGGATATATGGCATTCTAATACTATATAAAAATAGTTTTGACCTCACAAGACCTGTGAAAGCATTTTGAAAGTCCAAGTGTCTTTGGATCACATATTAGTAATTTCTGCTCTGCAGGAAAATGTCAATTGGAAGTGTAAACAATTTAAATTTTAGTAACTGAAAATACAAATTTTAAGATGTTTGTAGCAAATTTATAGAAAAAATAAAAACTGTGATGTCATGTTGAAATAAATATATTCATAAAAATACCAGTGACTCCATCAGAGACAGATATGTCTAAGAAATTAATATTATGCAAATTTTAACTAATAATCCAGATTTTGTCACTTTTAATGTTCAGATGCTGAACATAAAATATAAACATATTATAATTAATTTTATATACATTAATATATGTAATGTTTCTAAATAACTTTATTTTTATCTGCATTTTAGATTTTAAACTATCAAATTCTAAAGTAAACATAGTTCTACAGGTATAAATTGATAAAAATATACTGATCATCTGACAGTTATAGCTCTTTTTAAAGCAGTTTTGAGATACTCTATTTTAAGAACAAATAAGAGACTACTAATACCCTTCCTTCCCTGCTCCACGTAACAGTTTCACCTCTTATTTGAGAGAATGTTCAGATATTGACCTTAGTTGAGTCAGCCAGAGACACAGAGCTCCGGGTTAGAACCACTGCCTAGCCAGGAAGAGGAAAATGTGATAAGAGGTCAGTGTATTGCTAAAAATCACACTCCTATCTATGTTTAGATAAGATGAGATGGAATAAATCATGAAGGCACACAAAGTCTTCTTGACAGAAGAAAGTATATATACAGCTAGACTTTGGAAAGATTTTCTTTTCTTGTTTTCCATAGAACATTTTAAACTCAGTTTAACATATGGTGTTTAGCAAAGTCATCGCTGATAAGATGACATTTGAGTAGACATCTGGATGAAGGGAGGAAGCAAGCCATGCAGACTCCAGGTAAAGCATGTTCTCAGTGGAGGAAACTGCACTTGGAAAGGATCTGAGGCAGACTTGTGCTTAGAATGTTTGAGAAAGAGCAAGGAGACCATCGGGCCAGAGTAAGATGGATGAATGGGGCAAGTGAAAGGCATGCAGTCAGAGAAGTAGCAGGGAACTGATTATGTAGGTCGATTTATATTTAGAATGAATGAATTTGGGAATGACTGGAAGGCTGTAAAAAGAACAGAGACATTATCCAATAATTAACACATATTACAATTACTGTGTGTCAGGCTCTATTCTAAGTACTTTATATAAGCTTGTGTCATCCTCACAAAAAAAAAAAAAACTATGAAGTAGGCACATAAAGGATATTGCTAAATATTAAAAGGGCTTTGTGAAATTCTTCAGATTGACTTCCTAAACCACCTTTGGGCAAAGACAAATATTTCCTAGGAAGGAACATCCATTGCTAACTAAAGTTGAGTGAGTGCTGGTTAATGCTTGGTGCAACAGAACTAATATCTAATTTAAAAGAATCACATTAGATAGTCTTAAGAATAGATAGTAGTAGGGCAAGTGTGGAAGCAGGAAGATGAGTTGGGAAGCTTACAATACCCAGAAATTTTAGGAAACTTGGAAAAATGTGTGAGATGAACATGTTTGAGCTGATTTATCCTAGATTCCCCATCACTGCTGGTGACCTAGTAGAGTTAGTTGCAGTTGACAGAAATGGAAGTAAGGGAGACCACTAAAATGACATCACAGATCTGAAACCAAATGACTGTAAGATATTTTCCTTAGCATAAGCAGTAAGCCAAAAATGAATTCAGGTGAAGTCAACCATTATTTCTGATTACATTATATATAAAAATATTCTAGATGAAGCAGTTTTTAACAGATATTAGCATTCCCATGATATTGATAAGAAAACAAGTTCAGAAAGAAGCATGTATACTGAAGAACACATAGCTAATAACTGGTAGAGTCTGGATTTCAATCCAATGGTGTTCGACTTTGGGGTCTAAAATAACTGCTAGATTATATCACTGGCTCTTTAATTTATAGTTGCTGGGGGTCCTGTGAATCTCTAGGTGAGAAATTCTTCAAGAACAGCCTAAATAAATCAAGGAGGTTTAACTGGAGCCAGGTGGGGTAAAAGGAGAACACCAGAAGTAGGCACCATATATGAAATCACTGTTTTAGAATATTGTTCTTAGCATCTAGACAGGTGGGTAAACAAATGGGTGCAATGTACAAGCAGCTCAGCTGTTCCCAGTGATTTGTGTTTTGTCAAAATAACTCAGCCAAGTTGTCCTCAGTAAAAATGTTACAGCATTTTTTTTTTTGCTTGTTTTAAAAACACTGGCAAACCCAAAGAGACACAGCAGCCAAGAATTGAGGCTGCCATTTGCAACTGTGCCAGGGTCAAAGTCACTGTCTGTCCTTGGGTCATTCATTCAAATGTTTTGAGACCTCATTTGTCTCACAGATAAATGGAACTCTTGCTACTTATTCATTTTTCCTTTGAGATCCTTCAGATAATTTGCAATTTAATGAGAAGTATGGGCAAGATATTATCACCTTCTCTCTGCTAATTAAATTCTTCCTTTCTTTACTTCCCAAACTTCAACATAACATTCCAAGACTTACTTGACTATTCATGATCCTTTTCTTTTTCAATTTTATCATAAATTTGTCACCTGGCATTGAGCATTTCCTTCATTTTAATGGTGATAATCCTTTTATGCATGTGGCTTGTCTACCCAGAGTTACTAGGAGATCCTAGAAGGCAGAACCAAGATTACATATATATTTCCATGTACACCCGCTGATCAGTGAAATGCTGTGTAGGAAATTAGAGCTGGCTGAGAATTCGATGATGGTAATGATGACTGTAATAGCAGTTACTGTTTATGGAGCACATACTTTGTGCCAGTCACGTTATATAATGTCTTATTTTATCCCCACAAAAATTTGCAAGGCATTTATTATAATATGATTTTAGAATCGAAGAAACTGAGATGCATAGATAAACTGAGATGCATAAGTAATGCATAAAAATCAGAAAGTCAGTGGCAGAGATATGATAAAAGTCCAGGCTGTTCTAACTCTCAAATCAGTGCAAAATGGCAGAAGTGCCATTTCAGTTACATATGTATGTAGGATCCATTCACCATGCACTCACCAATACACTTATGCATCAGTTTATCCATCAGTTTAATAATTTAGCCATCCACCCACCTTTCCTCCAAATATCCACTCTTCCATCCACACACTCATTTGTTCTTATATTCACGTATCCATTCTTCAATTCTTCCGTTCACTTACCTTGTCATCCATTCCACCACTCTCTTCATGCGTTCAACTAGCCATTCACTCATACACTAAATAATTCCTTCATATATCTACTCATCCAATTATTTTCTAACTCATCCATTTATTCCCTAACATATCTGTATATTGAAACCATTACCAATCTGTTGATTTATTCATTTAGTCACTGATTCATTCATTTATTAATTTAATAATTCCTGACATCTATCCATTAATTCTATCACCTATTCAACTATTTATTAAAAATATATCCATTTATTACCATTATTAAGTATCTTCTTTGTAGCAAACCCTTATTAGATACAAGGAACACTAAAATGAGTAAGACATACTCTAACCGACAGTATCTTACAGTCTGATTCAAATAATCTAGAAAAAAATAATGTGAGGCAAAGGAGAAAATATCTTTGTTGTATGGAGAGAAGCAGTTCAATAAACACTTACCATCCTGGCACGGTAGCTCACGCCTGAAATCCCAGCACTTTGGGAGGCCAAGGCTGGCAGATCATGAGGTCAAGAGATAGACACCATCCTGGCCAACATGGTGAAACCTCGTCTCTACTAAAAATACACAAATTAGCCAGGCATGGCGGCACACGCCTGTAGTCCCAGCTACTCAGGAGGCTGAGGCAGGAGAATGGTTTGAACCCAGGAGGTGGAGGTTGCAGTGAGCTGAGATCATGCCACTGCACACTCCAGCCTGGTGACAGAACAAGGCTCTGTCTCAAAACAAACAAAAAACCAACCAACAAACAAAAACTTACCAAAGGAGGTGATATACAAATGCAGGCTTAAAAGAAACAGAGAGGTTTACACGTTGGAAAACAAAGGAAACATTTCAGACAATGGGAAATGGTAAAGCAGATGCAAATTTACATTAAATAACAGGATATATGTGGCATACTGTTGGTCATTCCCCAATATTTATTATGCCTTTCTAATAGTAATAAAATTACTAATTAACATCTAGGCAAAATAGTTGCCCAGAATCAAATTTACTTTTTCAGCCTCACTAACTAACCATACAGTTAGTTAGGTATTGCCATTTATGTTAGTTTCGATCACTGAATGTGAGCAGAAGTAGTGTTTGCAACATCCGTGTTATGTTTCAAAAGGAGAAGAAGTAATAAACTTGCTATCCCTTTTATCTTCCTTCTGGCTGGAATACAGTTATGCTATTTAGCCATGTTGGACCATGCAGATAAAGCAACCTGGTAGAGGTGGCAGAATTATAGGATGGAAAAATTCTAGACCCCATGACATTGTGCCGGTCAACCTCTTCTTGCTTTGGCTTTTACTTTTTTTACCTTGTTTAAACCACTTGTAATTTCTTAATTTGGATGTTTTATGGTATGTGACCCTTTATTCTATACAATGGACTGTTTCACTAAACAAATATAAAATATGTGGCATTCTCTTTGAGACAGTAAGAGAGGCTGTGAAGATACAGATATCACATCTTGGAAAGCTGAAAACTCTCAGTACATTATGGCCAATATTTGGTAAAACTTGTCCTAATACTTGGAAAGAAAACTCCTTCCTGTGAGAGTCTATGCTCAAGAGGAAATGTTTAGAAATATTCTTATTCTTATTTTATGTTTTAGTAAAGGCCCACAAGAGATGAAGGACACTAGGGTGGAGATTTAGTTTACACAGATTGGAGACTCTACAGATCAGTGCAGGGACACACTCTTTATGTGCAATTTGTAATCTAGGTTGACTGAAAATTTCATTATTTGGGGCCTTATATATTCAAAAAGTGAATTGATTTTGTAACTTAGGTTGAAAAATAATATTAGGCAGCCCTGAAAAAGTACTTTACCTGGAGAAGAGAATATGGCACCAAGTGTTTTTAATTAAAAATTGTTAGTGAGACATTGGAGCCACCACAATACCAAAAATCGAATTAAGGATGTTATCTTCCCATCCAAACATATTATTTTAGATGACTCGAAAGATAGCTTTCATTTTATTTTTCTGAGAGTAACAATAGAATAGGCAGGACACAGAGGGTTTTTTTTTTAAAGACTAGACTCTCCAGACTTAAAAGTATTTTAAATTCTATATTTTGCTCAGTAGTTTTGAGAATTAGAACATGCACATTTTTAAAAAGCCAGGCAAACAGCAAGTTAACAAATTTTATTGAGCTCATCTAAGTGCTGTGGTCACAGGACAACCAACTGTCCCCCAATAAACAAATAGACAGACACCTGCAGGGAGAAGTGAAACACAGTAATTTTCCAAAATTATTGACTGACAACAAAGCATGTATCCAAGAAGCTGAGAACAAAAAGCACAATACATATCAAAAGTGCCATATCTTGGCACATCATATTCAAGCTACTGAGAACCAAAGACAGAGAGAAGTTCTTCAAGATAGCCAAAGAATGAGGTCAAATTATATACAGTGAAATAAGAATAGGAATTATATCCACTCTCAGCAATAGACTTGGCCTACTTTTGTATATTAAAAAAGAATTATATCGAATTATATAAGACTTCTCCTCAGAAACTGTGCAAATTGAAAGATAATAGAATGACGTCTTTAAAGTGCTGAAAGAAAAACTGTGAAAATTGCATTAAAAAGTTGCCAAGTTAACTCAAGTGGTCAGAAAAAGAACAATAAAACAACATTGAACAAATACAATATACCTAGCAGATCTGTATATTATAATCCAACTACATCAATAATAGCATTTTCTATAGATGTTATAAACACACCAATTACAAAATTGTTAGACTGAATAAAAATCTAAGGCATATAGTTACATTGTATCTACAAGAAACGTACTTGTTTTATTCAGTTCAGGCTGCTTTTACAAACACCTTAGACAGGGTGGCTTATAAACTTTAGAAATTTATTTTTCACAGTTCTGGAGGCTGGAAGTATGAGATCAGGTTGCCAGTGTGTTGATTTCTGGTGAGAGGCCTGTTGCAAGGTTGCAGACTTCCCATTCTATCCTCACATGGAGGAAAGAGGGCTAGCTCAGTCTCTGGCCTTTTCTTCTAAGGGCACTAATTCCATTCATGAATTAGGTCATGAACTCCATGCTCATGACCTAATTTCCTTCTAAAAACCCTACCTCCAAATACCATTACATTGAGATTAGGATTTCAACATATTAATTTGGGTTGACAAAAACATTCAGTCCATTGTACTACATTAAATATATAGCCTTATGTATGATAAAAGTAAAAGGATGGAAAGAGATTTGACAGACACACAAACCAAACAAAGGAAAGCTGGAGAAGCCATATTAATAATAGACAAGGTAGAATTTAGAACCAGGTATATCATCAGGAGTAAAAAGCTACACAATCAGGTCATTTCTCTAAGAAGGTATTTTTAAAATCTTAATTTGGTATGTAGCCAACAACATATGTAAATACATAAAACCTGTTGGTACATAAAGGAGACATATACAAACACACAATTGTAGTGGATTTGGAGGCATCAACACTCCTCAGTAATTCACAGAACAAGGAGACAAAAAGTCGGGAAGCTTACAGAAGACCTCAAAAATACTAGCTACTACTTGATCTAAGTGACATTTTATGCAATAGTTTACTGAAGAACAGCAGAATATGCATTGTTCCCTCAAGCATACATGAAACTTTCATCATGACAGAACATAGAACAAGAAATTCAACAGACTTTAAATTTACAAAAGTAAAAATCATACAAAGTGTATTAGACCATAACATAATTTAAATAGAAATAAATAATAGAAACATATCTGGGAAACCTTTAAGTACTTGGAAATTAAGCAACACATTTCTAAGTAACCCAGAGGTCAAAGAAGAAGTCTCAAGGTAAAAATATTGAACTGAATGAAAATGGAAATAAGGCATCAAAATTTGTAAGACACAGCTAAATAAATATTTAGAGAGAACGCTATAGCATTAAATGCTTATGAAAGAATAAAGACCTTAAATCAATACTCAAGTTCTAGCTTAACAAACTAGAGAATGAAGAGACAAACTCAAAGCAAGCAAATAGAAAAACTAAGAGCATAAATCAATGAAATTAAAAACAGAAAAGCAGTTTAAAAAAAAGCTGTGTTTTTGGAAAAAAAAAAAAAACTCTAGTCATACTGGCAACCAAAAATGAGAAAAGACATAAATACCAATGTCGGGAATTGAATAAGGGACATCATTACATACCTTCACAGACACAAAAATAACGAGGGAAAATTGTGAGCAACTCTATATCCACAAATTTGACATGTCAGATGGACATTTTAGTGTGGTTATACTGTTCCTACTCTACTGCTGCATTTTGGGTATGTTATAGGCCCCTGGATCATGAAGAACCATAGATAGACCTAATAAAGGTGAGTACTCATAACCTCAAGTTCATGGACTTCAATGGACTTTCATGAATGAGACTTGGAAGTCTGTCCCCTGGGTATGAGATGAATACGTTCTCTATGTGGAAGGAAGCGTACACAAATGATTTTGGCTGACCAAGGTGCATACTATGGCAGATAATTCTGGTTTTCCTTTAATATCAAGTGTTTTCTCCTCTCATGGAATAAACATGAAGTATAATCTTTAGCTGTGTGTATGGCCCTCCGGAATAAAGACTGTATTTTCCACCACCTTTCAAAGCTAGCTGTGGCCATACAGCTAGGCCAAGAGAAATGCAAAATGTACGTGTGGAATTCAATGTCATACACCCCATCAGGCATAGTACATCTAATAAAATTTGAGACCAATCTAAGTGTTTCAATCAGATGATATTTTATAGAAGACATTTTTACACAGTGACAGACAATCCAAGAAGCCAAGCATAATGAATTCCTTAATAGCCACAATTTATCAAAACTCACTAAAGAAGATATATGTGTTTGTATATATGTGTGTGTGTATATATATATATACATATACATATATATATATAAAATCTTCTGAAGAGTATTTTATCTATTAAAGATTAAAAACAAAATGACGCCCCTACCACTTATAGGGATAGAGGGATATATCAGTCCATTTTATGTTGCTGTAACAGAAAACCACGGATAGATAAATTATAATGAACAGAAATTTATTTCTTATACTTTTGGCACCTGGGAAGTCTGAAGCTACCAGGCCTACATCTAGCAAGTCGTTCTTGCCATGTAATCCTACAGCTGAAATGCAAGAGTGCATGCATGAGAGAGCAAGCAACAAAGGGGCTCAGCTAATTCTTTATAAGGACACTACTCCTGCAATAATGGCATTAATCCATTCATGAGGGCAAAGTCCTAGTGTTCTGATAATCTTTTAAAGGTCCTACCTATCGACACTCTTTAGGGATTAAATTTCAACATGAATTTCAGAGGGCATATTCAAGTCATAGCAACAGATAATATAATGAGTCCAAAAGCTAAAGCTCCCTGCTGATGGATGCATATTGAGAATTGAGTGATGAGGGTATGGGCCATTTGTCTGAGGCTAGAGGCACAGAGAAAAGGCAGCTTCTATGGAAGACGCACCAAAGACAGACCAAGAGGAAGGAAATACCTAACCTACCAAGGTCATCCATTGGATTATACAACAGAAAAGGAAAAAGTGAAGACTACACCTAAGAGCAAAAGTAGAGTGACCATCAAATTTACAGGTGAGTCATGGTTAGGCCTTCCCTTTCCTTTGAATTCGAATTTGGATGTGATGTCTATTGATGGTGGAGCAACAGAATAGAAAGATTTAGGACTGCTAAAAATTTAATGAAGAATTTTATGTGAAAAAGCCCAATTCAGGCTTATACAGAAATAAATACATGTCATACTAAAATCATTGTTAATTTTGAATGTCCAATACAGTAGTCAATCTGTATCTTAATTAAAATTAATACAGTATGTTACAATTAGATCTGGTCAGCTGGAAGAATATGAAAGATGGAGTTACAAAAGAGAGAAGGCTTAAACAGGCAGGAATATATTGTATAATTTCATTTATGTGAAATGTACAGAATAGGCAAGTCTAGAGAGACAGAAAGTAGAATAGTGGTTTCCAGGAACTAGGGGTAGTAACTGCTAAAGGGTTCAAGGGCTGAGCATGGTGGTTCATGCTTGTAATCCCAACTGTTTGGGAGGCCGACTTAGGAGGATTACTGGAAGCTGGAAGCTTGAGACCAGCCTGGGCAACAAAGAGAGACTTCATCTCTACCAAAAATAAAAATAAAAAACTTAGCTGGGTGTGGTGACTTGCACCTGCAGTCCCAGCTACTCAGGAGGATCGCTTGAGGCCAGGAGTTTGGGGCTGCAGTGAACCATAAATGTACCACTGTACTGCAGCCTGGGAGACAGAGTAAGTCCCTGTCTCTAAAAAAAAAAAAATAATAACACAAAGGGTTCAAGATTGTTTTTAGGGTGATAACAATGTTCTCATAATAGACAGTATAAGTAATTTCAAACTTTGAAAATACCCTAAAAAGCCACTGAATTGTATACTTAAAAAATAAAAAAACTAAACTAAAAAATAAGTAGGTAAGAGTCAGATAATCAAAGGGTTTAGATGATATGACAAGAAATCTTTAATTATTTCTCTTGGCTGTGGATAGCCAGGATCGGGCTTTTAGATGTAGTAACAATAAGATTAGATTTTTTAAAAGAAAACTTCAGCATCAATGTGGAAGGTGTATTGTAGAAAGCAAAGGACAATCCTGAAAGTATGACAATTATTTAGCATAGATAGGAGGAAATAAGGGCCTGAACAGGAACAATAGCAATGAATACAGAATGGAAGTAATGAACAACAGGTGAGGAGAAAACTAAGTGTATAATATAAGAATGCATTTCAGTCATTTAACTTTTGTTCCCATCAGTTGTGCATTCTAGGAGATGACCTAAAACAACTATGCTTTAAAAATTTTTTATATTTTTTCTGTCACTGATTATATATACATATATACATATATATATATTTACTTGCTGGAAAAATAAGATGCAAGTATCCAAGCATATGAGAAACACTACCCAATGCTTGGAGACATATTTTTATACCCCAAACTAAACCTTCTGCAGGTAGTTTTAGGTACCAAATTACCCTCTAAATTAAGATCTAACTGCTTCTTGTGGAATACATCAAATCTAATTTCCCTATCAAAAGAACATCTTTATGTCGGTGATTTCTTTACTGAAACCAATCAATGATCTCTTGGAACTCCTATTAAGAAAATGCTCCTGGGTACTAACAAAATAGAGTATAGCAAATGAGCTGAAATTAATTTTAACTTTATCAAATATGTGATATAAAGGTGTTAATGTTTATTAACATGGCTTAATGTTAATAGCTCTATCAAGGCTCAGATGTTTATAGCAGTAAGAATTCTGTGTGATTATTTTACATCTTTTGCTTTAGACATGAGATCATCATTAACAGGGAAGAAATAAACTGATGTCAAAAAGAAAGAATATGTATATACTTTGCATTTTCCATTGAAATGCTAAATTTCGTGCACAGAAATTCAGCACAACATATATAGCTTTATCTTTCCATGACTGTCTTCATACATTTTGAGTTATAGTCATATCAAGAAACTTGACTTCCCTTAAACACGATATCCACTGCCTCATTTGCCGTACTTTTATACGTGACATTCTCTCTAATGGGAGCACAATCTTATTCCCTGCTACTTTAATTAATACTTATTTTTTCCAATACTCAAGTAGGTATTACCTCCTGTGGGAAATGTTTCTTGATTTTCTTCTATGTCTAAAATGTATTAAGTGACCTTATTCAGTGTACATATAATATACTATGCATAACTATTCAACAGGTATAATATTATAAAGATAATATTAGTTTAAGATGTTGTGTGTGTTTGTGTAACTTGAATAAGCTTCTGTAACAAATAGATCATAGGAGGTATACTGGCTCCAAGATAAATGGATGCTTTTTTCTCACCTACCTAATAGTTCAGCGTGGGTGGCTCTGCTTCACATAGAATAACTTACGAAGCTCTGCTTCTTCCATCCTATGGCCCCTGCTTCCCCTAGATTTTCACTGAAATCTGCATCCATCAGGCAAGAGTGAAGAGGTAGTGAAGGAGATATAGCTTCTTCTTAAACGTCTTTGTCTGGAAATGGCACATATCACTTCTACTTGCATTTCAGTGGTTAAAACATCATCATTTGGCCTCAAGTAGCTAAAAAGGAAGCTGAAATGGAGCCTTACTCTGTACATAGGAAGAAGAAACACTGATTTATCTTGGACAGCTAGCAGCAACATTAAACTGAAAGTAATCAAACTACTACATTAGTCAAGCTTTGGGTAGGCATGCCCAGTGGGGACAGAGAACAGCATGTCAGGACCCACTTTGGGCCAACACATTGGTATGATGAGTGTCACATATCTGGAATCAACAGTTCTAACTGATCAATTTTTCTTCCTTTTTCTCTTTCCCTTTTTGAAAGTTCAGCTTTCAGGTGTTGTACACCATATGTGGACAGTACACCATATGTGGACAGTACACCATATGTGTACACCATATGTGGGAAGTGGGCAGTGGGCAGTGGTATGTAGGGGCCCAGCTACGAGCCAGCATATTAATATAGGGAAATGAAATTTTGGGGTTGTGCTTTCTAAATGTCCTTTTCTTCACCCTTCTTCCTGCCCTCTTTTACCTTCTTCCTTTCCCTACTTCTCCCCTTCCTTTGTGTGAGCTTTTAGCCAATACACCCAATATGGATGTGAGTCAAGGACACTGCTTTCTGCTGTCATGGTGAGGAGTTTGTTAACACTGGCAGGACTGAACAAATTAGGAAATTCATTTAGAGTAGTGGAAAACATATTTCTCATTGTTGAAAATGGGACTTACGAATATGAAAAGGAGATAGTTTTGGAATGCAAGTAGAAGCACCAGTGTGCACAATGATCAAATATGATAGAGCTCCAGTTAAAATTAAATATAAAAACATACAGATATACACATATGTGCATATTATTTGTATACATAGATTTGCTTTTTTAAATTTAATTGTTTTTAACTTTTATTTTAGGTTCACCGGCACATGTGCGGGTTTGACATATAGGTAAATTGTGTGCTGTGGGAGTTTGGTGTACAGATTATTTCATCGCTCAGGTGATGAGCATAGAAGCTAACAGTTTTTTGATCTTCACCCTCCTCCCACTCTCCACTCTCAAGTGGGCCCCAGTGACTGTTGTCCCCTTCTTTGCATCCATATGTACTTAATATTTAGCCCCCACTTATAAGTGAGAACATGTGGCATTTAGTTTTCTATTCCTGTGTTAGTCCACTTAGGATAATGGCATCCAGGTCCATCCATGTTGCTGTGAAGGACACGATCATTTTATATTTTATGGTTGCATAGTATTCCATGGTGCATATGTACAACTTTTTTTAAAATCCAGTTTATTGTTAATGGGCATTTAGGTTGATTCCATATCTTTTTCACTGCAAATAGTGCATAAATAGATTTTTTTTTATCTGACTCTCTTTAGAGGACATACATGTAATTACACCACAGTCACGAGGAGCACATATAGTATCCTATTATTTGTTTCTAGATACTAAGGAGCCAGAGCTTCCTGGGGAAGAGTACCTGACTCCAGGGCTGAGGCAGGGAAAATACAAGATGATCTGGTAACATCCTGTTGTGCCAGAGGTACTCTAGGGGCATGTGCAAAAGACATAAGAACCAGTTGAAGGAGCTTCCACTAGTCAAGTCTGGGACAAATTGAAATAAGTGATAATTGACATGGCAGGAGCATTGCCATCTTGGACAAGCACTGCCATCTTAAAGTTCCCCTTGATTAAAAATTGCCTAAATCCAAAGGGCATCAGCCTAATGGCTAAGGTTAGCATGACCATAAACCATAAATGACATCTCCGACCAGAAACGTTCGAACCGTAATATAAACCTCTCCCCGACCAGAGACATGCCAGCCCCGAGATAACCTCCCTTCCAACCAGAGACATTCCAACCCTGCCATAAAACTTCTCCCCCACACAGAAACATTTCAAGTCTGTAATAAGCTCCCTCACCCTAAAACCAATACATACTCTTAGCCTGTAAGAGAGAGCACTCCTGACTGAAATCGCCCAGAAGCCCCTCTCAGGTTTATTCTCCAAAATAAACCTGTCTTTGACTGTTGAGCCACTTTTTGTGTTTCTTTCCTCTTTAACTCTTAACAATAATAATGACCAGTTATAATACTTTGAGTAAAATAAGAATTTATGAGATTTTACTAATATAAATGGATACATATATAAATTGGGAGTGGTGCTGGAATTGGAAGGGAATTCTTCCATGCCAACTAATCAATCTACAAAGAATTATGGAATTAGGAGATTACCACTTGATAATCATCAGTGAAAACTCATTCAGGCAGAATTCATCAATGAATGCCAAATCTGTTGTGTAAAAGACTGATGAAAAATGGAGTATTCACATAGTCTCAAAGTAACTTTCCATCAATGCATAATGATTATTTATTGATAACATACTTATTAACTTTCTAGTGTAGAAATCTCACAGGCACCATTAATTAAATAATAAATGTTACCATCATCAATAATGAAACAAAATCAGCATGTATACCTTCTGATATACACACTGCAAAGAGCTCAGCATCACTTCTGTGGTATTCTTGCCAGAAACATACAAATTCTTAAATATAACAAACATTACAAATGGAGTCACATTCTACACAGTAACTAGGCTAATTTTTAAAAATGTTAGGACCATTAAAGACAAAGAAAAAATAAGGAACTATTCCAGATTGAAAAGTATTAAAGAGATTTGACAATGAATAAAACCACTGATTATGGATTGGCTAGTGGGCCTAAAAAGGGTATATCTGGGATAATTAGGAAAATGTAAGTGGGGTCTGTGGACCAGAAAATAATATTGCATCAATACTTATTTCCTGATTTTGATGGATATATTGTGTCTATGTGGCAAAATGTTCTTGTGCATAGGAAATATATATTGTAGAATTAAGAGGTATGGTAGGAAGAATAATAGCCCCTAAAGGTATCAGGTTCTGAAACCTACACCTGTTTAAGTGTTGTCATATGACGAATAAGGTTCTTTGCAGATGTGAGTAAGTTAATGATTTTGAGACTGGGAGATTATCTTGGATTGTTCAGGTGGGCCCTAAAATACTACCACAAGTGCTCTTATCAGAGAGAGGCAAGGCGATACTTAATCCAGACAGAAGAGGAAAAGAAAGTGTTAAGATGGAGGCAGAAATTGGGTTAATATGGAGGCAAGCCAAGAAACATTGATAACCAACATTAGTTGAAAGAAGCAAGGAACAGATCTCTCTCTGGAGGAGACCCCCATCCTGCCAATACCCTGATTTCAATCCAGTGAGGCTAATTTTGGATTTCTGGTCTCCAGAACCATGAAAGAATAAATTTCTGTTGTTTAAATACACCAAGTTTGTTGTAATTTGTTAATGCAGCCACAGAAAACTAATACAAGGAGTAATGGGGTATCATAACTGAAACTTACTCTTAACTTTTTCAAAACAAGAGAAATGTTAACAAGGAAATCTGGGTGAAAGTTATACAAGAGCTCCCTATATTTTTTCAATTTCTATGTAAATTTTAAATTACTGAATAATGCTTTTAAAAAATTTAAAAATTAGAAGATTAAGCAAAGGTTAAAAGCTATTGCCTGGATAATATGAAATGGGAGGAAGATCAACACTTTCTAGAGGGATTCAGACACTAAATATTCTACTATTTTATCCTCTCAAAATGTTGGCCTTTATCCTAAAGCTATTTATTTCCTAGTTCTAAAGTGGCTATAGTATCTACAGATATCATATTTGTTTTCAAGATCAGAAAGAGAGTAGAAAAAGATGATAAAGGTTCATGCCAGTTGAACCTGTGTCTTTTTATTAAGAAAGCAGATGTTGTTTTAGGTATCTCCAGAAAATATTTGTTTAAATCTCAGTAGCCAGAACTATACCCAACTGTGAGGGAAGCTGTGAAGGTGGGCATTTGCCTTCCCAGCTTCTGGAGTAGATATGAAAATGGAGAAAACAACTGAAAAACATCTGTTGAGTTGGCTAATAAACAGTGTTATCTCCCTGGCAAGATAGATAGATAGATAGATAGATAGATAGATAGATAGATAGAGAGATAGAGAGATAGATAATCTATATTTAGAGAGCCTAGCACAATGCTTTAAATATATGTTCAATAAATGCTTATATTAATTGGTGTATGTATGAATGAATCATAAATGGATGAATTAAAGAATCTTACATTCCAAGTTTATATTAGCAATGTGATTAAATGTCAGCTTTATTAGAGCATAGTTCCCAATATAGAATCATTTCAGAATACCTTAACACCCTAGGCCATCATTTGTGTTTCAGTTTGTAAGTTTTACATTCTATCATGATTTTTTGTCTCAGATTTTCTTTTGTGTGCCCAATTTTATGATATTACATTAAAACCATATCAACTTTTAGCATGAATTGTTATAAAAATCTCTTATCTCTCATCTCTTTAATGTCTTCTCTCTCACCCCATTAAATGAGGTAAGTAAGTAGGAATATACTAGAAAGAAAAATAGGAAAGACAAAACTTTGTAAATAGTTAGGTGTAAGAAGTGATTCATAAGAACTATTCAATCAATATTCTGAAGACCTTGTCTTAAATAATTGCAGTGGATGGGAATATCAAACACAGAAAGATAATTGAGAAGACTTATCACGTAAAACTGATGAGTGCTTTTTCAGACATAAGGAGTCTGATGTGTCAGTGGGACATACTTGTGCAGATAAATATGTATTTGAGAATCAGACATTTAGGACTTAAACTAAGAGAAGTTAGAACAAGAGATGTAATTTTGGTATTCTTCTGCAGGTAGGTGCTAGTTAAAGCTTGTGAATAGATAAAATTTCTCAAATATATCATATAAAGTATAAAGAAAGAGGACTATGAATAAAATCTTGACATTTCACAAACCGTGATGGCAGCCAATTCCAGCACTGGGAGAAACAATCTGGTATAGAGGAAGGGAGTGAGAAGACATCATTTCTTTTTTCTGATACAAATTCAATATGCAATTTACATTAATGCTTCTCAAACTGTAGTGTGAACAAAAATTATCTTGAAGTCTTGTTAAAACACAGATTTTCAGGTCCTATTTCCAGATATTCTAATTCAAGGGGTTTGAAAGGATGCCAGGGAGTTTGAATTTCTAACAAACTCTCACATCATGCTGATGCCTCCCACCTAGGACCACCCTTCATTATATCTCAAGGCTCTAAATTAAACCTTCTTACCCACAGTGTGGCCCATGGGCCAGAAACACTGGCATCACCTGGGAGCTTGAGGGAAATGTTAAGTCCTAGGCTCCAACCCAGATCTACTGACTCAGAAACTGCCTTTTAACATTATCCCCAGTTGACTCATATGGGCTTGAATGTTTGTGAAGCACTGCCATCTAAATGTATTATATAACATTTTGTTTCATTTCTGTTAAAATGGCAATGTTGGTCTCATTTTGATTCCAACATACTATGAGGTAAAAAATTAGGCTTTGAAGCCAAACATTGATAAGTGAATTGTGCCTCCACTAACCTTAGTTTCCCCATGTATAAAATGGAGATCATAATAGTGTCCTCCCTTGGTTATAACAAGAATGAAATAATGTTATGAATATAATGTGCCTAGCTTCCATTTGAACAGAGAGCTATGGTCTCACATTGGTTTTACACTTTCACATGAATATTCAGGTTGCAGCTAGCACAGGGCTGTTTGTGAAATTGCTTATTTGTTATGTTGGTTCCACCTATTTGATTAGTTAATTTGATAAATTTAATGATGCTTTGAGTGAAATGATTCCAGTTAATGATTATTGATTTTAACCTCAAGAAGAGGAAAATAAAATTGATTCCTAGGTAGTTACAACTTAAAATACATACATTGAGTGTGTGCAGATACTGACTAAATATAATGAATATTTAAAAACTGATATAAAATTGTGACCACGTTGGAGAGAATAGGATTGTGGCAGTGACAGTAATTAAAACAAAAATTGAGAGAAGGCTGCAGTGTGCTTCGGTCTCGTGAATCTTGCAAATCTACCATTTCTTCTCCTTTCTTCAATGCCACTTTTTTTATTTCTCAGATAGAACTATGGTAGCCTGAATCTTATCTTCCAAAGGTTTTGTTTCTTTATCCAATAAATAGATATAATATATCTAATACATGGGGTTGTTGTAAGAAAATTTAAAAATCCAAGTGCTGAACACAGGGCTTGGCAAAAAAAAAAAAATGAATTAATAATTGCTGTTATTATGTAAATTTTATCCGTAATAGACTTGAGGAGGAGGTTGATGATGCTGAGTTTGTCAACATTGTATTCTTTAGGATTAGTAGCACTCTATTATATACAGAAGCAACACTCAATAATTGTTTGCTGAATTGTGCATCCAGAGTAAGTTTTTATATTGTGGTAGTTGCAATTAAGCAGTAAATCTGACACATACGCAAATTTTTTTTTTTCAGAGATAAAAATGGAAGTTCTTTTACGCTGCTAGTGAAGACTTACTTCCTCCAACTCTTTTCTATAAATACAAAAAAAAATACTTAGATATGCTGATTTTTCCAGTATACTTAGCATATTACCCTTAAATAATACTGTTGGAAAGAGAAAAAATGAATAATGTCATCCCTAGTAAACTAGTCAATATTGAGGGAGAAACTCTCAGTTTACTTTAATTTTCTAATAGATCAAATAAAACTCTATTTCTCATGTGGGGAGATTTAGAATCTAGCAAGATTTTATTCTCAAATAATAGATTCATTTGAAGAGATTAAAACAAGTCTTTGTCAAAATGAAGGAACATTTTTAAATGAATTCGAGAAATTCATCCCAGGTGATTTAACATAAAATATTTTTGTTTCTTTTTTTTGTTTTATTTTATTTCATTTCATTTCATTTCATTTCATTTCATTTTATTTTATTTTATTTTATTTTATTTTATTTTATTTTTTTGAGACGGAGTCTCACTCTGTCACCCAGGCTGGAGTGCAGTGGCACGATCTCAGCTCACTGCAAGCTCCGATTCCCAAGTTCACTCCATTCTCCTGCCTCAGCCTCCTGAGCAGCTGGGACCACAGGTGCCCGCCACCACACCCAGCTAATTTTTGTATTTTTAGTAGAGACGGGGTTTCACTGTGCTAGCCAGGATGGTCTTGATCTCCTGACTTTGTGATCCGCCCACCTCGGCCTCCCAAAGTGCTGGCATTACAGGCGTGAGCCAAAGTCTTTAAAAAACTAAGTTCATTAACAAAAATAAAGTTCCATTCAGAATGCAGAAATTTAAATTTCCAAAGTATTACCTACTTGCTATCAGCTATGAAGGTCTTGAATATTTGAAGTGGTGTCCTATGCAAGAATTTGAGACTAGCTCAAAGTAAATGACCACAGCAGGTAAGAAGCACATTTCTGCAAGTGAAAGACTAAGATTTTAATTCAAGATTTCATATTTTGTTGCCCTGGATATTCAAGGAGAAGCCACTTGCTATAGAGGGAAAGACAGATGCAACAGGCATAGAATTACCTCAAAATTCTGTGCTGCTTATGACAATTGACATGAATGTTATTTGGCATCACAATGCCCTGGTAAAGATAGGTAGAGAGAACAATTACTTTCTCTTGCACATCAACACACCTCCCTTGTCAACACATACAAACTCATAGTAATCTTGCACAAAATTGTTTTATTACCTTTTCATTCAGCATTTCTGCTTATATATCCTTAAGTATATCATCTACTTTATTGGGTATCATATAGAAAACTGCGCATTTTCATTTGTAGTAGATCAGTTTCTGCTCCACTTGTAGCCAATCTTCCTCACAATTAGCCTGCTCTAAAATACAAGGTAAATAAGTCCTAGGTATTTACTGTACAAACATAGTGCCTATAGTTAATGTTGTACTGTACATTTAAACACTTGCAAAGAGGGTAGATCTTATGTTAATTGTTCTGTCACAAAAAGTAATAATAATAAACAAGAAAGCTGGAAGAAACTTTTGCAAATGATGGATATATTTATGGCATTGGTTGTGGTAATGGTTTCATGGGTGTATACTTACCTCCAAACTCATCAAGCTGTATCCATTAATTATGTACAGCAGGGGCATCTACTCTTTTGGCTTCCCTGGGCCACACTGGAAGAAGAATTGTCTTGGACCACACATCAAATACAGTAACATTAACAATAGCGGATGAGCTAAAAAAAAAAATACAAAAAACCTCATAATGTCTTAAGAAAGTTTATGAATTTGTGTTGGGCAGCATTTAAAGCCATCCTGGGCTGCAGTCGCATGTGGCTTACAAGGCTAAGGGCTGGACAAGCTTGATGTACAATATTTTGTATGTCAAGAAATTAAATTTTAAAAATGTTGAAAAGATAAAATGTTGATGTTGGAGAGAAAAAAAAGCAGCTAATATTTTGAGCACCTTGCATGTGCCAGTAACCATACAAAAAGCTTTCTGTTACGTCGTAGAATCCTCTCATTCTCTATTAGGTATCTATTATCTCCATTTTGCTAATGAGGTAACTGATGCTCAGAGTAGGAAATTTGTCAAAGACACACATTCCGTGAGTGGAAGAGCCGAGATTGAACGCAGGATTCCTAACTTCAATTTATATTTCTTTAAGATTGCACTCTTTGCTGTGTGAGAAAAGACATAAATACTATTGAGTGTATCAAAATCCTTCATATACCTCCTACCATCTTTAAAACAGTCCTAGTTTTAAGAAAAATTCATTTCACAAAGAGCCATAATTTTTCATCTTCTTGTTCAGCAATGCAGTTTCATTCCTGATGCTGCTATTAACTCTTAAATAATCTAAACCTAATGAATAATGCGAAAGTCACAGGCAGGTGAAAGGAGAATTAGGGCCTTGGAATTCTCCTGTGATGAGTAAGTAGTTTATCCTGAGAGAAACCAGTCTTTTAAAACAACAGGAGCCTCTCAAGTCATGGAGGGTCTAACTAGTCTCATTATCATGATTTCATAACGCCAGGAGGGTTTATTGAACTTTTGATTCCAAAATGTAAACAAAATGATCTTTTGAAACACTGGAACCAAATATTTACTGGAATAAGAAACTGCACATTTATTCTCTAACTTAAATATTAATACACATATCAAGTGATAAATGTTCTGTGAGTCTGACATAAATTTCCAAGTCATTACCTTACAGGTATTACAAAAATATTAATCCTTGCTAGGAGACTATCTTATTTGCGTCAATACCCTTTAGAGATGTCTGATTATTGCTGATCTGTTTTGTGAGTATACCATGCCATTTACTTTTTTTCAGGGCCCATCTTACTATTTGTAGAAAAGCCTTCAGTTTTGCCCAAAGTTGTCTTTTGCCTCATCTGTTTAATATTCTGGTCCTGTCTTTCTCTGTGCTCAGGTCTGCTGTTTCTGTGAATTCCTGTCTGTGGCTCTCCTGTGCTGCAGTAGAGAGAGGAACACTTTATACTCCTTTTTTTGTGGAAAAAAAATCACTTCCTAATAGGGGCTTGAGCTGAAATCAATGAGTAACTGAGCAGACATGTGAGACAGACATTAACATTTTTTTTTTTTTAACACTGCTGCTGTTGGGTCGTGGTCCTTTCTAATTCCCAGATTCTTATTGAAGACCTCACATTGGCCTAACCAGGGCAAAAATCTTGGAAATGTAAGGCATTCTATTGCATGGGCTATTTACCCAATAAAGGACTAAACAATTTTAAATGTTGGAGGTAAAGAAATGTGGGAGATTCTGAAGATATGATCATTGGGAGATAAATAGAGTCTTAGTGTGCAGAGGTTGGATTTTGCAGACTTCTATCCACAGACTAATTCTTCAGTGCATATTTTTAGAATTGCCTCCTAGTTTTATAATTGAAAAAACACAGCTGAAAATATTGGAAATATTAATCAGAAATACAATATCTCTATTACCTACTCAATTAAAATGGCTAAAAATAAGCATTCAAATTTTGGTAAATGTGTTCTGATCAGTTAACAAAAAATAAATTATATCTAGGCAATGTTTGTTAATGAAATTAAGATAGTCCTAAGTGAATGTGGTTTCTGAACATTTAGCAGGAGAGAGAACTATTGATGTCCTCAACCTAATGACTACCTCATATTGGTGAAATATCTAAAATCTAAGAAAGTTCTAAGAAATGCACTCCTAAAAAGTTAATTTAATTAAATAAAAGTGTTCTTATTTTTTCTAGTAGTTTTTCGATTATAAAAATGATATAACCTGGCCGGGAGCAGTGGCTCACACCTGTAATCCCAACACTTTGGGAGGCAGAGGCGGGTGGATCACCAGGTCAGGAGATCTAGACCATCCTGGCTAACATGGTGAAACCCTGTCTCCATTAAAAAATGCAAAAAGTTAGCCGGGCGTGGTGGCAGGTGCCTGTAGTCCCAGCTACTTGGGAGGCTGATGCAAGAGAATGGCATGAACCCGGGAGGCAGAGCTTGCAGTGAGCTGAGATCTCACCACTGCACTCCAGCCTGGGCAACAAGAGTGAGACTCTGTCTCAAAAAAATAAATAAATAAAAATAAAAGGATATGACCTGACCTGTAGTAGTTTAGTTAATAGTATCATACCAATTGTTTGGACAAATGGTGATGTAAAATATCATTAAGGAAAACTGAGGGAAGGATATATAGAAATTATCAGTACTATTTCTGGAACTTTTCTTAAACCTAAAATAGTCCCTAATCAGAAAAAAAAAAAAATGAGTTTTTTTAAAAAATCTATAGTTAGGAACTATTTTTTGCCCATATTCTCTTCTCAAAGAAAAAGATGTTAATCGAGGCATACAAGGTACTCTGTGATCTCTGCCTCTTCAACCTCATTTCATCAATGCTTTCGTGCATTTGGCTTCATCAATATATGCACGTGTTTGTTCTATGCCATACACTTTGTTAATATTTTAGATATGCCATTGCATTAAAACATTATATGAACCTTATTACCCAAATATTAAATATGAGGAAACTGAAGCTCAGAGACATTAGGTAATTTATCTAGTGTTACACACATTCAACGAAACATCAATATGTACAAGTCTGTGACTTCCAAACCTAGACTCAAAACTGTCCAAATTAAAATAATAATGAATCATTATACTTTAAAGTTAAATTTTTAAATGGCAAAAATTTCACATGGAAGTTTAATCTAGTTAATTGTGATCTTTATGCTATTTACAGACAAAACATTGGAATGGATTACCAAAGGATTGCTCTCCAAACTATGAGTCAAGGAGAGACAGTCATTCGTTCTGGCTGATTTAGACATTTATTAGTCAGAAATAGTATAAACAAAAAAATTATTTCTCTACACCCCACCTTGCCATAAACAACTGGGTTCTTAGTTTCAGATTATAAAATTGAAATCCCTAATTGATGTTTAAGTGAAAAGAACATAGAACCAGGAGTCATTGAACTGAAGTTCGTATCTCAGCTCTGCCCTCAAATTGTGGTTACCTTCTATAGCCCTCACTTTCTTGATCTGAAGAATTAGAATAAGTCCTTATATCAGAGATAGCTATAAGGGTTAAATTAGATCAGCCAAATAAATTGCCTACAGGAGAAATTGGCATCTAGGAGGCTGAATTAAGTTTGAACCTGAGCTGTATCTTAATATTGATCAGCCATGTTAGTTTTTTCTTCCCTTTTTTATTCCTACAATGCAAGATAACTTGAATTTTCTATCCTCAATTTATTATGATGTATTGCTCCAACGTGTAAAAAACCTTAGGGAAAGCAAAGTGACATTTCAAAATCCCGCTGTTGGTATTGGGTAACCAATATTTCTGCAAGTCAAATAGATTCCAATTTTTTGTTTCTATCAAAATTGAAGGAAAATTCAACAGATGATCAGCTGGTCACTAAAATTATTTTCTCATGTTCATCATGTGATTTTTAGAAAATAGAAAGAATTAAAAACATTCAATGTCACTGCAATAGAATTTCTTCTAGCCTACTTGTTCATTTATGTAAACAGTATTTCATAGCCCTTACATTTATAAAACAATCTAAAAAATACAAATAAGTGATATATAAACCTTTTGCTTACATAAGTCTCAATTCTAATAGGAAGTGATATTTATGTATGGATCCATGAATCATTTGGAAAAAGAACTCCACCCATTTTATAAAAATTTGTCATTGCCAAATTATTTTATGTGTAATAATTCTTTTAATTTGTAATATAGTTATAATGTTTTGATCAATTTAATACTAAATTATTTATGAGAATAACACTGTCCAGGTTTTTAAAATACAGGGAAACAGACACACACATATATACATGTATCTGTACACACAATTTATCTATTTTTTTGTTTTACACACACACAATAAATTTTTAAAAGTATATCTTACATTATAATTAAATTTTGTGAAAGAAATGTAATGAAAATACAAATTATAGAGGAATATTAATTTTTAACTGTTAAAATCAGTACATTTGTACTGATTTCCATCTTATATAGAAGCTGGCCGGGAGCAGTGGCTCATGCCTTTAATCCCAGCATTTTGGGAGGCTGAAGCGAGTGGATCTCCTGAGGTCAGAAGTTTGAGACCAGCCTGACCAACATGGAGAAACCTCGTCTCTACTAAAAGTACAAAATTAGCTGGGCATGATGGCACACGCCTGTAATCTTGGCTACTCAGGAAGCTGAAGCAGGAGAATGGCTTGAACCTGGGAGGCGGAGGTTGCAGTGAGCTGAGATCACACCACTGCACTCCAGCCTGGGCAATGAGAGCGAAACTCCATCACACACACACACACACACACAAAATTTAGCTAATCTTTATGGGCATGATATAGCCTCCTTTTTCAATGTTTCTTTGGCCAGGCATTCAAATTCACATTTTTTAAGTGTATGCTATAACAATAACAGACAAGTCTGGACTACTGACATAAATCTGTTGGATTACATCATTACAATTTTTTCTTCCTCATAGCAATTCTCTTACTACTTTACATTCACACACAAATAAAACTCTATTGTCTCCTTAGTTGTTTCTCAAATTTATCTTAATTGGCACCTAAAGAGTTCATGTGCATAGTAACTACAGTTATGCACCACCTATTGCCAGAATGTTTTGGTCAACAACAAATCATATATGCAAAGGTGATCCCATAAGATTACAATGAAGCCGAAACATTCCTATTGCCTAGTGATGTCATAGTTATTATAATGTCATAGTGCAACTCATCACTGGTGTTTGTGGTGATGCTGGTGTACAAACCTCCTGTGCTGCCAGTCTCACAAAAGTCTTTTTTTTAATATCTCATAAAATCTAACACATACAGTTTCATACAGTACCTAACACTCGTTAATGACAATAAATCACTATGTTACTAATTTATGTACTTCTGATAATATACTTTATACTTTTTATCATTATTTTAGAGTATACTCCTTCTGCTTGTGAAAAAACTTACCTGTAAAACAGCCCCAGGCAATCCATCAGGACATATTCCAGAATAAGGCATTTTTACCATAGGAGGTAATGGCCCCATGCACATTATTGCCCCTAAAGATTTTACAGTGAGAAAAGTGGAAGACAGTGATATTTACAGGTCCTGATTCTTTGTAGACCGAAGCTAATGTGTGTGTTTCTATCTCAGTTTTTAACAAAAAGTTGAAAAATAAAAACTTTTAAAAATATTAAAAAGCATATAGAAAAGGAATATAAAGAAAATAGTTGTGCACAGCTCTTCAATATGTTTGTGTTTAAAGCTGTTATTACAATAATCAAAAACTTAAAGTTTATAAAGTAAAAAAGTTACAGTAAGTTTATTATTGAAAAAAGGTGTTTTAATAAATTTAGTATGGCTTAAGTTTACTGTGTTTATAAAGTCTACAGTAGTACACAGTAATGTCCTGGGCCTTCACATTCACTTGCCACTCACCAACTCACCAGAGCTACTTCTAATCTTTCAAGCTTCGTTCATGGTAAATGCCCTATACGGGTGTACCATTTTTTATCTTTTATATTGTATTTTTACTGTACCTTTTCTATGTTTATACATGTAAACACTTTACATTTTGTTACAATTGCCTATAGTTTTCACTACAGTAATAGGCTGTACAGATTTGTAGCCTAGGAGAAATAGGCCATACCACATAGTGTAAGTGTAGCGTAGGCTATCCCATCTAGGTTTATGTAAGTACACGTTATGATGTTCACAGGATGAAACTGCCTAACGTTGCATTTTTCAGAAAGTATTTCCATTGTTAAGTGACATATGACTATAAATGTATATTATGCCGCTAGTTAGCCATATCTTTATTCTCTTAACTCTGATAATTACCTTCCTAAATTTAAATAAAGATTATAAAATTAGAATAAATGATATTCACTTTAAACTTGTAAGACCTATATATTTTTAATCAAAAAGGGTTAAAAGTTTATGTAACATTCAAATGGTTTATTAAAGCTATAGGAGAAAGAAAGGTATTTATTTGAATTACAGCACTGCTGGGGAAACAGAGAGAGAGCACTTGGATGTTTTCATTTTCCAGGGCATCATATACTAAAGAATCATTCCATCTAATTTCTTCAAATCTCAAGAACACACACCTGGCAAATTATGAAAATAAATCTTATGTTGTTATCAATGATATTTTTGAATGCCATTTTAATAATTTGACTCACTTTTTTTCTAATCACACTATTATGTGTATCATCAATCTGGTACTCAATTTTACTCCATTCTGCTTAATCATTTATTAATGGTCCTTTGATACCAGGTCCAGTCTAAGAAATAAATACACAAGAGCCATAAATGCCACTCTAAAGGAATAAAGCCTGCCATCCCACTCTCACACCCAGTTCTCTTAATCTCACCATGTTTTTTAAGATTTGGTTGCAGTATCATCATTTCTCTGGAAAAACTATTTTCATACCACAATTCTAAAGGTTAGATGCCATAACTCATGCTCCTACATATATAACCAATTTTGTTTATTTATTTTTCCCCAGACTCTGGCAGATTTTAGGTACATAATAAAAATCCTTAGAATGACTTCATTTCAGTCATAATTAAGAGAATGGATAAAATTATAGGTGATTCTTCTGAGTATAAACTAAGAGTCAAGCTATTAGAGAAGCATTCCCTAAAGCAATCAAGATAACTAAAGGCACAATTTATTGTCTGTGGATCTCAGTAGAGCTTACCCCATGAGTCCTTGTATATTGATCTCATGAAACCTCATGTATGCTTGGGACTATGTTTTAATAAACAACACTTTCTGACATAAAAAATTATTAATCAAAATGAAGTCCTAATCATACCAAGAACACCAAATGTTTCACTTTTCCATAGTAAGTTTAAATTAAGCAGTTTTCAAACATGGCCAAGGATGCCTTTGGTGTCCCCAAGACACTTTCAGAGGATCTGCAATGTCAGTATTATTATCATAGCAATACTAAAGCATTGTTTGTCCTTTTCTACTGTATGGACGCTTGCAGATGCAAGTATGCACATCAATCTATGTCCAATAGGGTTAGCTAACAAAATAATACAAGTGAAAATCAGAGTAAGTTATCAAAACATAACTGCTAGTGTGTCTAAAATGCAAAATTACAACATCAATCATTTATATATTGCTGATGGTAGTATAAAATGGTATGCCCAACTCTGGAAAACATTTTGGCAGTTTCTTAACAATAATAAATAATAAATAAACATTCCACTACCATACAACCCACCAATTGCAATCCTGGGCATTTATCCTAAAAAATGAAAAATTATATTTACATATAAATGTGTACACAAATGATTATGGCAGGCTTATTACAGATATCCTTAAATGGATGAACGTTTAAATGACTACGGTACATCCATCTCATGGAGTACTATTAGGTAACAAAAAAGAACAACCTATTGATACTAATATATACAACAACTAATATAATCTCTAGAGAGTTATGCTAAGTTAAAAAGCCAAAGGTCATATATTGTATGGTTCAATTTATACAACATTCTTGAAATGACAATATTATAGAAATGGAGAACAGATTGGTGGTTGACAAGGTTCAGAAAAAAGAGAAAATGGAGGAAGTGGGCGTGGCTATAAAAGGATAACATGAGGTTTCCTAGTGGTGATGGAACACTTCTCTTTCTTAACTGTATTAATGTCAATATCCTGGTGGTGATTTTATACTATAATTTTGCATTTGTATATTTTCTTTGGAAAGAAGTCTTTGGGAAAAAATGTTTATTCAACTCTTTTGCTTATTTTTATTTGGGTTACTTGTTCTTTGCTACTAAGTTGTATGGGTCCCTTATACATTTTGGGTATTAATCCCTTCCTAGATATGTGGTTTGCAAATATCTTCTTCCAAGCCATAGGTTGCCTTTTTATTTTGTTGCTTGTTTCCTTTGCTGTACTGAAATTTTGGTTTAATATATTCAGATGAGTTTATTTTTGCTTTTTTTTTTTTTTGCTTGCACTCTTGGTATCATATCCTCCCCCAAAAATCACTGGGAAGACCAATTTCAAGAATCTTTCCCTCTAGTTTTCCTATAGAAGTTTTATGTTTTCACATCTCATATTTAAGTCTTTAATCCACTTCTAGTTAATTTTTGTATGTAAGACAAGAGTCCAGGCCTGGCGTGGTGGCTCATGCCTGTAATCCCATCACTTTGGGAGGCTCAGGTGGGCGGATCAGGAGGTCAGGAGATCAAGATCATCCTATCTAACACGGTGAAACCCCGCCTCTACTGAAAATACAAAAAAATTAGCTGGGCATGGTGGTGGGTGCCTGTAGTCCTAGCTCCTCCATAGGCTAAGGCAGAAGAATGGCATGAGTCCAGGAGGCAGAGCTTGCAGTGAGCCAAGATCGTGCCACTGCACTCCAGCCTGGAGGACAGAGTGAGACTCTGTCTCAAAAAAAAAAAAAAAAAAAAGAAAGACAAGTGTCCAGTTTCATATTCTTTTCTATATGGATATGGATATCCATTTTTCCCAGTGGCAGTTATTGAAGAGACTTTTCTTCCATCATTGTGTGTTCTTGGTACCCTTATTAAAGATTAGTTGACCATATATGTGTGTTTAACTCTGGTCTCTCTATTTTGTGCTATTAGTAAATATGTCTGTTTTCAACTGAGTACCATACGTTCTAAATTATAGTAGCTTTGTAATATAGTTTGAAATCAAGGAATGTGATGCCTCCAGCTTTGATCTTCCTCAAAATTGCTTTGGCTATTCAGAGTCTTTTTTTGGTTCTCAAAGATAAACTGTTTTTGTGTAAAGGTAATGTAATATTATATATAGAAAACCCTAAAGACTCCACTGAAAAGATATGAGAACTATAAATGAATTCAGTAAATTTTTTTTCTGGTTTTATTTCTGGTGTTTTTAGTTTGTTTGTTTTTTGAGACAGGGTCTCACTCTGTTGTCCAGGCTGGAGTGCAGTGATGTAATCATGGCTCACTGCAGCCCTGAGATGCAGTGATGAAGTGATCCTCCCACGTTAGCCTCCTGAGTAAGTGGAATGACAGGCATGAGCCACCATACCCAACCAGTTTTTTTTGACTTTTTGTAGTTACCTCCATATGTTGCCCAGGCTGGTCTCAAGCTCCTAGGCTCAAGCAGCTCTCTCGCTTTGGCCTCCAAAAGTACTGGGATTACTGATACAAAGCACTGTACCAACCTCAGTAAAGTTTTATAATATAAAAGCAATATACAAAAATCAGCAGCATTCAGTCACTAACAATGGACTATCCCCCCAAAAAAATAAGAATATAATTTTATTTACAATAGAAAATAAGATTATAAAATAACTATAAAAAGAATTAAATGCTTGGAAATATATTTAACCAAGGAGGTAGGAGATATATACAAGGAAAACAATGAGACACTGATGAAAGATATTTAAAAAAGACACAAATAAATTAACAGATATCCTGAGTTCATGGATTAGAAGAACTAATATTGTTAAAATGTTAATATTACTCAAAGCAATCTACACATTAAATGCAATCCCTATCAAAATTCCAATAGCATTTTTCACAAAAAGAGAGAAAGTATTTTTCTCTGGCACCTGGTAAGGTGCCTGACACAAAAACCCATTATTATTATTTATCACTTTAACTGATTATATATATATATATAATATATATATATATATTACAATTGCTTCAAAGTATTGATATGACAATAATATAGACATTGTGAATCCTCTGAGAGAATCTTGGAGACACCAGAGTTAGCCATGGTCATTCTTTGAAAGCCACTGAATTAAAGCATTACAGAAAAACAAAACAACAACAAAAAAAAACAGTAAAACACTTCGTTGGTGTTCCCGGGATGATTTGGATTTAACTCAGGTTAAGATTTTAATTTACTTTATATCAGAAAGTTCTTTTTGATTTGTTTTGTTTTGTTTTTTTACAAAACCATTGTCTCAAGTGTGTATGAGGTTCCATAAGATCAAGATCCAAGGACTGGTAGGGGGTGAAGTTCTACTGATATCTATAGAGTTTTCCTGTTACTGTATGTTATGGTTTTAGTTATCTTAATTGTTTTAGGGAATGCTTCACCTATAGCTTGTCTCTTAGTTTATCCTCATAATGTTTACCTATGCTTTCATTCCTTCCCATAACCATAACTAAAATGAAATTATTTAAAGAATGTTTATTATGTACCTATAAATTGCCAAACCCTGGAGATAAAGAAATGAGCAAAATGGTCTAGCTGTAGAGCTCCTAACCTTTGAGAATTGTGAGCATGAGCCTGGTTAGAAAAATTCCCAGAACAACGATGATACTGAAACTAAGCTTTAAAAACCATAGAGTAATTTGAGGAGAGAATAGGAGACAGTTATTATAGCACCCACATGTAACAAGATATGAAATAAGAGATCCAGCAAGAATTGGTTGTACAGAGCAAAAGTGAACATATGAGTTAAAATAAGGTCAGTGACCAGGCACGGTGTTGCACGCCTGTAATCCCAGCACTTCGGGAGGCCAAGGGAGGTGGATCATGAGGTCAGGAGATCAAGACTATCCTGGCCAACATGACGAAACCACATCTCTACTAAAATACAAAAATTCAGCCGGGCGTGTTTGCAGGCACCTGTAGTCCCAGCTACTAGGGAGGCTGAGGCAGGAGAATCACATGAACCTGGGAGGCAGAGGTTGCAATGAGCTGAGATCATGCCACTGCACTCCAGCCTGGCGACAGAGCGAGACTCCACCTCAAAAAAAAAAAAAAAAGAACAAAAGAAAAAATGGCCAGTGAGGTACATGGTATAAGGTACTGAAGTGGTGTGCACTAATGTTGTAGAATATATTCTTGGGCAAGGACAATTAAAAATTCTTTGGACTTGACAATTACGATGTCTGCTGCAATCTGTAGGATGTAAATCATTTGACATTTTCTAAATATCAGTTCTCATTTCTAATAATATGATTGAAAAATGGTATATAGGTTGTATCAAACATATGAAGGGTATGCAGCAAAACTCAAATCTTGAAATTCCAAATAAAATATCTACAAATGTATAAGAAGAATGATTACATACTGGGGCTCTGGGCATGGAAAAAGGAAGAACCATATGGCTGCTTTCCTCACCTGTACCCTTCATCCAAAGACTTTCCAGAAATTGACATCTCCCTCAGAAATGGTCATCAAAACCATAACCAAAGAAAGAAAAAAGAAAAGAAAAAAAAAAGAAAAACCTCACAGAGAAACAATAGTATATAGCTGCTAGTCAAAGTAAATGTATGCTTGTATGAGATCTTACAGCTTCACATTTTTTAGGACAGTTTTAATTATCACCCAACGTATTAGTTTCACAGTTCAACTCAGCATGATAAACCCTGTGGGAGAATTTTACTACAAAATGGCCTATTTTCTATACACACAATTTGATTACAGCTGTGTCTTTATCTCTGAAATCCATGAGAAATATGATCTTCCTTTGGAGAAGAACAAAACTGATAAACTTCCAAAGGACATCTCTGAGCACTTCTGAAGAGAAGAAATGGTATTTGGTGTACTTGGGCTTCATAAGCCATGCAACACAAATCAAGTTATAACAATTCTGACACTATCTATGGCTGCAACTAATTACTTGCCAAATTTGAATGATGATACATCAGGTCATTATACTATAGAATGATAAAAAAGAGGACAACCCAATCCTAAAGTTATATGCAACCAACAACAAATCTTCTAGTAATGTGAAGCAAAAGCTGATACAATTTAAAAGAAAAAGGGACAAAACCACATTTTAGTGGGGTACTTCCATGCCACTCTCTCAAAAATTGATAGAACTAGACATAAAATCAATAACGATATAGACAAACATATCTAGTAAAACATCTAATTGGCATTTATAGAACATTCCATCCAACAGAAGAATATGTTCTTCTTTTTCACGTGCCTTTGGAACATACACTAAGATAGAAAACAAACCACAACAAACTTGAAGGACTTGAAATCATGCAGAATGTGTTGTTTGACCACAACGGAATCAAAACATAATCAGTAACAGAAATATACCAAGAAAATCTCAAACACATAGATATTAAACAATACACTGCTAAATAATCTACATGCTAAAAAGGAAGTATCAAGATAAAACTTTTTTAAATCATTGAACTAAGTTGACACTATAACAAAACTTGTGGAACACAGCTAACACAGTGCTGAGAAATGAATAGCATTAAATGATTCTATTAGAAAAGAAGAAAATCTCTGGACGGGCGCAGTGGCTCACACCTGTAATCCCAGCAGTTTGGGAGGCTGAGGCGGGTGGATCACCTGAGGTCAGGAGTTCAAGACCAACCTGGCCAACATGGAGAAACCCCAGCTCTACTAAAAATATAAAAAAAATAGCTGGGCTTTGTGGCAGGTGCCTGTAATCCCAGCTGCTTGGGGGGCTGAGGCAGGAGAATCACTTGAACCCAGGAGGTGGAGGTTGCAGTGAGCCGAGATTGTGCCACTGTACTCCAGCCAGGGCAACAAGAGTGAAACTCTGTCTCAAAATTAAAAAAAAAATAAAAAAGAAAGAAAGAAGAGAAAAATCTTAAATCAGTAGCATTACTTTCCACCTCAGAAGAAAGAGCAAAATAAATGCAAAGCAAACAGAAAGAAAACAATAAATATAATAACAAAAATTAATAAACTTGAAAACAAAAAATAGAGAAAATCAAGTTACTTCATTTAAAAAAAATCAGTAAAATTGACAATCCTCTAAGAAGACTGAAAAAAATGAGACAGGGAGAGAGAGGACATGAATTCATGAATTACCACCAACATGAGTGAAATGTGGAACATCAATAGAGAGCCTTCAAATATTGAAGGAATAGTAAGGGGATACTACAAATAGCTCTACAAACACATACTTGACAACTTTGAGGAAATTAATCAATTCCATGAAATGCACAGACAATCACAATTTACTCAAATACTTAAATATAAATAGATAACTTCAACATCCTATAACTATTAATGACATTGACTTTATAATGTAAACTCAAAAAAGTCATCTCCAGACCAGGATGGTTTCCCCAGAGAAATTTATCAAGCATTAAGGAAGAGTTCAAATATATTTTATACATTCTCGTTCAGAAAAGAGAAGAGTAGGGAATACTTCTCAATATGCTTTATGAATGTAGTACATTCATGATACCAAAACCAAAGAAAGTATTCCCTGGTATGAAAACTAATAACAAAAAAAAATAAATGAGAGGGGGTGGGAGAAGAAAAATATGAGAGGGGGAGAGAGAAGAAAAATAGTAAAGAGAGAGAGGAGAAGCGAGCAGTAAAGAAGGAAGGAAGGAAGGAAGGCGGGGAGGGAGGGAGAAACTACCTTGCAAATATAACCACAAAAATTTTTAACAAAATATTATTATGTAGAATTCAGTAGTACATAAAAATGAATTCAGCAGTTTATACACCATGACCAAGTGGTGTTTATTCCAGGGATGCGATGTGGGAGTGATATTTGAAAATCAATCAATGTAATTTACCATATGACATGATCATATCAATGAATGCAGAGATACCATTTGATAAAATTCAACATAAATTCATTGATTTAAAAAACCCAACTCTCAAGAATACAGGAATAGAGAGAAATTACCCAGCTTGATGCTTGATAAAGAGCATCTCCAAAAAACCAGCAGTAAATGTTATACTTCATATTGAAAGACCAAATGCTTTAGTCTAAGTTTAAGAACAAGGCAAGGCTGACCAATCTTCCCATTATTCAAAATAGCACTAGATGTTCTAGCCAGTGCAACAGGCAATAAAAGTAAATAAAAGGTAAAACTAAGATTAGAGATGAAGCAATAAAACTGTTTCTATTAGGAGATGGCATGGCAGTCTAAATAGAAAATCCCAAGGAATCTACAAAAATACTCCTAAAACTGACAAGTGAGTTCAGCAAAGCTTCAGTATTCATGATAAACATAAAAATCAAATGTACTTTTATATACTAGCAATGAGCATATGGACATTGAAAATAAAAAAATTACCATTTACAATCACTAAAAAATGGCGTATAAATCTACAAAGTATACAGGCTTTTTCTATATATAGACAAGATTATTCTAAAATGCATGTGGAAAGGTAAAGGAACTAGAATGCCGCATATCTACAACTATCTGATCTTTGACAAACCTGACCAAAAGAAGCATATCTACAACTATCTGCTATTTGACAAACCTGAGAAAAACAAGCAATGAGGCAAGGATTCCCTATTTAATAAATGGTGCTGGGAAAACTGGCTAGCCATATGTAGAAAGCTGAAACTGGATCCCTTCCTTATACCTTATACAAAAATTAATTCAAGATGGATACAAAACTTACATGTTAGACCTAAAACCATAAAAACCCTAGAAGAAAACCTAGGCAATATCATTCAGGACATAGGCATGGGAAAGGACTTCATATCTAAAACACCAAAAGCAATGGCAACAAAAGCCAAAATTGACAAATGGGATCTAATTAAACTAAAGAGCTTCTGCACAGCAAAAGAAACTACCATCAGAGTGAACAGGCAACCTACAGAATGGGAGAAAATTTTTTCAACCTACTCATCTTACAAAGGGCTAATAATATCCAGAACCTACAATGAACTCAAACAAATTTACAAGAAAGAAACAAACAACTCCATCAAAAAGTGGGTGAAGGATATGAACAGACACTTCTGAAAAGAAGACATTTATGCAGCCAACGGACACATGAAAAATTTCTCATCATCACTGGCCATCAGAGAAATGCAAATCAAAACCACAATGAGATATCATCTCACAACAGTTAGAATGGTGATCATTAAAAAGTCAGGAAACAACAGGTTCTGGAGAGGATGTGGAGAAATAGGAACACTTTTACACTGTTGGTGGGACTGTAAACTAGTTCAACCATTGTGGAAGTCAGTGTGGCAATTCCTCAGGGATCTAGAACTAGAAATTCCATTTGACCCAGCCATCCCATTACTGGGTATATACCCAAAGGATTATAAATCATGCTGCTATAAAGACACATGCACACATATGTTTATTGCGGCACTATTCACAATAGCAAAGACTTGGAACCAACCCAAATGTCCAACCACGATAGACTGGATTAAGAAAATGTTGCACATATACACCATGGAATACTATGCAGCCATAAAAAATGATGAGTTCATGTCCTTGGCAGGGACATGGATGAAGCTGGAAACCATCATTCTCAGCAAACTAACACAAGATCAGAAAACCAAACACCGCATGTTCTCACTCATAAGTGGGAGTTGAACAATGAGAACACATGGACACAGGAAGGGGAACATCACACACTGGGGACTGTTGTGGGGTGGGGGGAAGGGGGAGGGATAGCATTAGGAGAGATACCTAATGCTAAATGAAGAGTTAATGGGTGCAGCACACCAACATGGCACATGTATACATATGTAACAAATCTGCATGTTGTGCACACGTACCCTAAAACTTAAAGTATAATAATAATAAAAAAAGGAACTAGACTAGCTAAACAATTTTGAAGAGGAAAAATAAGTCAGTCTACCTGGTTTCAAGTTTTATTACATAATTACAGTAGTCCACAATATGTTATACTGGCAGAGGAATAGACACAGATCAATGGAACGGAACAAAAAACTCAGAAATAAAACCATATAAATATGCCCAACTGATTTTTGACAAAGGTATTAAAACAATTCAATTCATAGCCTTTTTAATAAGTGATATTGGAGTAAGTCATCATCAGTGGGCAAAGGAAAAAGACAAGAATCTCAACCTAAACCTCATAATTCAAGCTGGATCATGGACTTAAATGTACAACTTGAAATTATTTTAAAATTTTAGGAAAAAATAGAACAAAGTTTTCATGACTTTGGACTAGGAAAAGAACACTTAAATTTGACACCAAACACAAGATTAATAAAAGGACAAAAATTATAAATAGAGCTTCAACAAAATTAAAAACTGCTCTGTACAAGACCCTAAAAGAATTAAAGAAAACCAACAAAAAATAAGCTACAGACTGGGAGAAGATATTTGCAAACCACGTATTCAACAAAGGATTACTATCTAGAATATAGAAAGACTTAAAACTCAATGGTTAAAAAGAATGCTCATTAGTATATGGGCAAAGTCCTGGTCAGACATTTCACTGAAGGGAATATACTGATGAAAAATAAAGCACATAAAAAAATTCCAACATTATTGGCCACCAGGGAAATGCAAATTAAAACGACAGTGAGATAGCACTATATCCTTAGCAGGATGGCTAAAATAAGAAAATAAATAAATAAATAAAACCACCACCAGTCATTTATACATTATTCATGAAAATGTAAAATAACCTAGCCACTCCAGGAGACAATGTTAATAAGGTTTCTTGGTGGAAAAAAAAATTGCCAAACTACATTTTCCACTATCATGCAATACAGCAATCACTCTCCTTGGCATTTATCCTAGAGAAATGAAAACTTCTGCTTACACACACAAAAAGTTCTAGAATGTTCACAGCAGAATTATTTGGCATAATCAAAAACCAGAATCAGATCAGGCATCCTTCAATTGGTCAATGTTTAAACTTCAATGGATGGTATATCCATATCAGTGGACAGAGATATTGATACAGCCAACAACCTATATAAATCACCAGAGAATAATGCTAAGTGAAAAAGCCAAACCCGGAAAGCCATATTTGTATAGTTCCATTTATAGAACATTCTTGAAGTGACAAATTTATAGGAATGGAGCACAGGTTAGTGGTTGTCAGCGGTCAGGGACGTAGTGGGTAGGGAAGCGAATGCTATAAAAAGTAAACATGAAGGATCTTTGTGGTGGTGGAGCTGCTCTGTTCTTGACTGTATTCGTGTCACTACACTGGCTATAATTTGTACATAGTTTTGTAAAAGGTTACCATTTGAGGAAACACTGGTAAAGAGTATTTGAGACCTCGCTATATATTTTTCACAATTGCATGCGAGTCTACAATTATCTCAAAATAAAGGGTTTACTTTAAAAGGGTCCTAACATCAGCAACCTCGCTTATTAAAAACTATCGCAAGAACAAAAAACCAAACACCGCATATTCTCACTCATAGGTGGGAATTGAACAATGAGATCACATGGACACAGGAAGGGGAATATCACACTCTGGGGACCGTGGTGGGGTGGGGAGAGGGGGGAGGGATAGAACTGGGAGATATACCTAATGCTAGATGACAAGTTAGTGGGTGCAGCGCACCAGCATGGCACATGTATACATATGTAACTAACCTGCACAATGTGCACATGTACCCTAAAACTTAAAGTATAATAAAAAAAAGGAAAAAAAAATCAAGGTAATAAACACGTGCATCACCTCCAAAAAAAAAAAAGTCATCTGAAGACTTTCATATCACATTAATCATAATTATGTCAACAAAAACGAAGTACATATATTTTAAACAGACTGTCATTTTTAAAACAAAAATACTAAATCTTATTTGTTCTTAATGCTCTAACTGAAGGGTAATTTTTACTTATACTAAAACTAAAAGCACCTACATTTCTTATATGTGAGCTATTTTCTCCCCCTAGAGAGCCGGAAATATGGTTGATAACAACATTTTAAAAGGCAGGTGGAAGGACATAAAGTGAGTGCCTGGAGCTCATATTGTCTTCTAAGATTCTTGGATTGAACATATTTCTATTTCAAGTTTAACTATTTTTAGCATGTTTTCCAAACAGTATCTAGGCTAAGAAAAATGTAAGATGCCAAAGTAATGGTAATTAATAATTCCAGAGGATTGTGCTTTAAATAAAGTCATAACAAAGAGCTAACACACTTTTATTAAAATGTGTAAGTTATTTACATCAAGGAAAGAGCTAGTGGATATATTTAGCAAACCGGATATGCACTGATCTTGTTATTCAAGAACATTAGATAAAGTGCACAGAAGAATCCTGTTTGGGAGCTCTGGCTTCCTAAAAAAACACTCAGAAATAAGAGGCTGCCAATGCTAATAACTAGATTTGTTGCTCCTGATTACCACATAAAGACAAGCCTCTTTCTTTTGTAATGAATCCTGATAGGTTATCCCCTTGGCAACCTGTCATTCAAGTTCACTAGCTCATTTATCCATCTACTAAATATATTATCTGCAACAAGGGCAACTTTTACTTTGCATGGGTCACTTACTACTAAAGTACAGAACCAACAGAGATGAGTGTTTAATAATCTATTGCAGGACATTTTACCACTGATTATATTCTCCTGTATTTTCACTTATGTATTTTAACATAAATCAGAGAACCTCACTCTTCTGTTCAAAACCCTCCAAAGGCTTCCATTTTTATGAAGGATGCCACACTATTCCCACTGCTCAGAATGCTTTCCCCCCAGAGAGCCACCTAGGGAGCACCTTCACCTCTTTCAGATCATTGCTCTAAAGTCCTCTTCTCAGTAAGGCTCACCCAGAGAATCTTATCTAATATTCAATTTAGCCTATCTCGCTCTAACACATTTTAGGGCTCATTTACTTTTCTTAGTGTCCATCTTTACATTTCCTTTATAGGAATTTTTTTGTGTTCTTGTTCACTGCACTATCCCAAAAATTCTTCTCATGACAAGCACAGAATATATGCTCAACAAAAACATGTTAAGTGGAAGAACTTGAAGAACTTACGTTTTTCTTGCTTTGCTATGCTTTCTACAAACACTTGCTTACTGTTTATAATGTACCAGGCATAATTCTAGCAGTGGAATCAACTACATGCTACACAACCCTTGCTCTCACAGGTCTCACTGTGGAGGAAAAGATTGCAGTTGGGGTGAGAGGAAGGTATTAAAACCGGACAGATAACCGCAGTACAATATGGGATATAGTACCAGTCTTCTTGAAAAACCCTGGGATATAAAAACAAACAAAACACAGCACAGTCCTTGAAACTCTTATCCTTAGGAATCTAATTACCTAATGAGGGAATGCCATTTAAAAGAGAGAGCAGGGTGAGGGGGGAAGATAAATAAACAGAAAAACTTTTAAAAGCAATACAATATAGCATGCATTGAGATGAGTGCAAAAAATGAGGATTCGTAAAGCATGGAAAAAGGACTAGCTAGATGGCCTGGAGAATAACATTGAACTAAGTCTTAAAAGATTAATGGCAAATTTTTAATAGTGCTTTTTAAATTATAAAGCTAGGATGAGTTTCAAAGGAAATCTGCTGAGACCCCATCTTTGAACATTTAAACAACTTATTATTATTATTTTGGAGAGTGAGAGAGTAAATTGATGAATAAAATGTAGTTGTGGTATTGGCCAGAAGTAAATTGAAGCTATATAAGGTTTGTGATAATAAATTTAAGTAAAGCCGGTCAGTAGTGTTTTGTGTTTGATCCAGCCCTGTTGAGTGGCCCAGGCACAGGTGTAAATTAGGCAGACAGGTAGAATTAGCCAAAGCTGGAGTTGCTCCAGTCAAGTATGGTGGCAGGTACAATGTACAAGCGAATATAGAGATATCCCAGTAAGTGATTATAAAGCTGAACTGGAAATATAAGCTGAATAATGTCGGAGTGAAGGCTTAAGGAGGATAATGAACATTGAAGGGTAGGCAAGATCAATAGTGAGTTGTAGATCCTTTTGAAACCAAAGTATTATTGGAGTTCAGGGTGTTGAAGAGGTATAATTCAAAATAAATCAAATAGCAGAGGTCTTCACAAATTAATAGGTACTAAATGCTATGTTTTCAAATGAATACGTTACAACTTTCTCTTAAATGCAAGAGGCTGGACCAAATGATCTATTATCCTCTATGATAAATTATAAGAGAGATGTCTAAGGTAGGTTTTTCATTTCATTCAAGTTTAAATTGTTTGCCGTATGATTTTATTGGGGGTAGATTATTAAATGCAAAGAATATTTTAAAAGTCTCTAATATGGACATTTATATGCTGGAATTTAAATGATATTGAACTTCTCAAATTATTATAGATTTGATTATCTCTGTCAAAAATTTCTTATGCTTTGATCAAAGAGCTTTCCTTCTTTAAAATACTTTCTTACTAACCAGGATTGGGGACCCCTGGTGAGTACAAAGTTTGGGCACATTATATAAGGAAAGCTTATGGAATTTGAGAATGCTTAACCTGAAACAAAAAGAAGAAATTTAGCAGTCCTAAGATGTTGAAAGTGGGCATGCACAAGGTAAGATCTAAATAGTTCTGAATTTAGGCTCTGGAATCATTTAGATCTACATTTGAAATGTAGCTTTGTGACTTGGGCAAGTTACTTATCTTACTAAAAATTATTTTCCTCTTTCTGAAGCATTTCTGAGGAAGTCATTTGTAAGGTTGGTGAGAAAGGGAATTTGATTACATGAACTTAAATCTACAATTATTTAATCCCATATGCAAATAGATGAAATATTTATGTTTTTGAGACTAGAATAGAAGCCTCTCTTCTATTTAAAGACACTGTCCTTCAGACAGAGCTCTTCTTGGTTCCTCAGTCTAATCAAGAACTCTAAAGCCAGGAGAAACAGCATATGGGTTACACGCAATTGAAAACTCAATGATTCCACCTCCAAAACTGGACTACATTTTGGCAGAACAGACTGCCTCTAGGCTTAGGACATTACTGACTTCTCTGACTATGGGATTTCACAGCTGGGAGCAGGACCAACTTAGCAAAACTCTTACATAGATGAAATCTATCTTTGGATTTATGCTGACAAGTAAGATTCTGCAACTGGTTTTTAAAATATTTTACTAAATTTTATGTGTTTAAATGTAAGTATGAAAGAAAGAAATTTGAAGTTGTCAGAACTTGTTGAAGGACTCCTTATTTAAGCAGAAGTTGACAAATTTATTACATTGCGTACTAAAAGCAGGCTATACATTTCATATCGGGAAGGAATTGGAAAGAGCAGAAATAACAGGAGTCAGGAAGAACCACTTGCTTGTATTAGGTTGGCTTGACTTGGAGAAAATATCCAATTTGTCAAGCTAGGGTCAGGAAAGTCAAGGTGTAATTTTCCGTCCAACAATGGATAGTTATAAAGGGCCAAACAAAGGTAACAGTAATGGGAATGGATATATTACAATCTACATCGACTATCTCTGGATTCAGAATGCCTTTAATGTTGAATTCTGGAGTATGTTACCTTAAGTAAGTTACTCAGTTTTTCCTCAGCTATAATATATCTATTTTTAGAGATTGTACGAGTATTAAATATGGCAAATTAGTAAGTATTTATATCTGTGCCTGGCATTTAGGAGGTGATCAGTAAGGTATTACCAGTAATGTAACGGTGGATGCCTTCAGTGATCATTGGCCAGAAATGTTGTACAAAGGATTTAGGGGATGTTTGAGGGCTTGACTTAAATGGTTATCACAAGCATTCACTTAATTTAAATTTTGGTGCTCACCTACCATATTCTTGTCATTTTGCTAGGCATTGGAACTATGCAAATAAAAGCCCTATTCCTTGTATTTAAGAGTGCATAGTCTAGTAGAGAAAGAATAAAACAACAGGAAAACAAAATGTGCTATGAAAGCACAAAGGACAGATATTAGTAAAGAACGGAAGCATAAAGGGGCAGTCATTGAAGAAGGCATCCAGGGGTTTGAAACAATGGAAGCGTATTTCAAATTGAGAGAAAAGCAAATGAAAAGTTATAATATGTAAAAAGCACAGCATTGCAGAATATGGAAAGAGAACAGTATAGTAGAAAGAGGACGTAATTTAGAATTAAAGAACCTGGTTTCTGTGGCCTGGCTATGCCATATACTGCCATGGGACTAAGCAAATTGATACAACTTATCTAAGTTTCAATGTACTGATCTGAAAAGTGAGATTCATAATATTTACCCTGGCATAGTTGTGAGGCTTAAATGAGATAAGTTATGCATTTACTTCAGAAAAGTATTTCTTTTTATACCATTTCCAAATGAGCTGACAGTCTTCCTTTCTTTTGGACTCTAGTCATTAACTCTAACTCTCTCCCTGCTTCCACCTGGACCCCTGCTCCTAACCCATTCTCCACCATCCAGGCTGAAGAACCTAAATGCACACCAGATCAAGTCACATCCCCACTTAAAAGCCCCCAATGACTTCCCATTGCTCCTAAAACCAAATTATTAATGATGGGCTAACAGATCTTTCATGATTTGTCCCCTGCCTGTCTCACTAAAGTCATTTTCACGCCTTGCTCTCCTCACTCTCTGTGCACCAGCCACTTTGGCCTTCTTTGAGTTTACACATATCCATGCCCCTTCCTGCTCTTTCTATTTTGCATATTATCTTTACCTCGTCCTTGTCCTTCTCTTTCTCCCACTTTGCCTACATAATTTCAAATCTTTTTTGTTTTGTTTTGTTTTGTTTTGTTTTGTTTTGTTTTGTTTTGTTTTGAGACAGATTCTCGCTGTCACCCAGGCTGGAGCGCAGTGGCGCAATCTCGGCTCACTGCAAGCTCCGCCTCCCGGGTTCACGCCATTCTCCTGCCTCAGCCTCCTGAGTAGCTGGGACTACAGGCGCCCGCCACCATGCCCGGCTAATTTTTTGGTATTTTTAGTAGAGACGGGGTTTCACCATGTTAGCCAGGATGGTCTCCATCTCCTGACCTCGTGATCTGCCCGTCTTGGCCTCCCAAAGTGGGGGATTACAGGCTTGAGCCACCGCGCCCGGCCCAAATCATTTTTAAAATCTTGCATCAAGTGTGCCTATCCCACCCTTATTTATTAGGCCACATGCCCCTATCATAGGATCTCCCAGGACTTGCTTCCTTTACTTTTTAGCACACAGCGAAGATAAAATTTTGCATTTGTTAAGTGATAATTTGCATCCTTCCAACCAGACCGTGACCCCAGGAGAGTAGTGAATATTTGCTTTTTCTTGAACTATAACACCACTGTTCTTTTCATGTCAGCATATCTCTCTGCTAAGTTTAGTGCCAAGTATATGGTATGTGTTCAGGAGCATCTTTTGAATGGAGGAATAGATGAAACTTCAAATGCAGTGATTGGTCACATTGTTAATAATCAATCAACAAGAGTGATCTTCATTACTGCCATTATTCTGCTGCTAGTTTATGTTTAGGGTTTTTATAAATAGAGCATAGATGCAAGACAAGAAGGGAGAAAAGCGATGCTGGGGGAAGTACAAAGAGACTAGATAGGTAATAAAGGTTTATTTGTTTTATACCTTGTTAGGTCATATGGGTTTTATCCAAGTGTGTAAGAGGAAGAATTAAAGGGGCTTAAGCAGAAGGGCATGATGAATAGCTCAATGTTTAAGAACCTCTGGTGGCAGAATGCAAAATTAATTACAACTATGAAGTGAAGACAGGGAGAGCAGTTAGAAGACTCTTATGAAATCAAGGTGAGAAGTAAAAGAAGGTACTGAATGAGGACTATGAATCCTCAGTTTCTGTAGTTTTCTAATCTTCCTGTGTTTAACGCTGTGTCATTAATAACTTCACATGATTGGTGAAAGTGGCAACCTTTCATTCCTTGTTTAATCACTCACAATATTAATGCATCTATAATATAACTTCAAATAAAGAAACACAGTCCTGGATAATACTTAAAATTAGAATTCCAAACTTCAATACCATTGTATGTACTCAGAAAGAAACTATCTTTGTTGTAAGAGGAGAAATATGTAATAAAATTATATGGGTTTTTGTGAGTCTTTATTAAAAAGGAAACTGTGAAAAAACCGCATGACATAGACAAGAAAAAAGTCTCTTTGGACCAAAATTTCTTCTTTGAAAACCTATGCTGGAAAGAATTCGTATGCAGTGCTGACATGTAAACTCAAGGATATATAATGTTTACTATTTAAACCATTTACTTTACTAACCAAAATAAAAGACATGGTTAGCTGGCTAATCAAGCAAATATTCAAAATAAAATTAAATTTAAGTATGCTCAGATCTCTATCATAAATCATACATTTCCTCTGGTGTTATTTCTCTCCATTATATGTAAATAGACAAGGACTCTTCCTGCAAAATTGTTTTACTACACAGTCTGTATTTATGCATCTAAAATGTTATTCTTCATGGCTATGTTTCTATAGACATCAAGGTTATATAAATTTGATTTTGATAATAGTATATATATCCAAAACTATAATAAGTGATAGTTCACTAGTTGTTAGTACTTTTGTTATAATTGAACTCAAAGAACGCAATCATGTTGTTACTGGTTTCATCGTAAGGTTAAGTTCTCCAGTATAAAATTTCATTACTAGGCACTTATGTGGGAGAAAACAGTTTGGTCTACTCTATTGTCTTTATATATTCTGCTATTTCTAATTCAAACTCATGAAAAAATGTTTCTTCACATTACACTACAAATATGATTACCATCCATAAGTAATGATTTACAGTAAAAGGCAATCAAGAAAAATCATATTTAGAAGATAGAAGGAACAATAAATTTGCATAAGTTTTTGAAGAATATTCTTGCATTTTGATTTGCCTCTGTTATTTCTTTAGTTTGTTTCTTCATTAAGGGTATTTTAGCATAATTTTAAAAACATAACTGACAAGTGATAACTTTTTACTTACAACTAATTAGGAGCCTAATTTACCTTTAGCCCTATTGTTTTACACACCTCATAAAAGATAACATCAATGTCTGATCCCTCTTACGCATCTCTTCCTTCTTTGCCCCTCTACCTAAAAATAAAAATAAAAAACCTTAAGATGTATGAGGTAAGCACAGGTTTTATAAGTTAATTTTAAGTGTATAAATGAATTAATTTGTTAACACAAAGGTAAGTTGACATATTAGCATACCAAGAGGTAATGTCACTAAATTGTAAATCAAGTAACTACAGAGACTTTATTCATACCTCTTTTCCTTCTTTGGTATTCCTTAACCTTTTCAAGTTTAATGAGCTAATTTCAATTTTGAAAAAAGGAATTGAGAATTAGATAATTACATCCAGCTTTATTTTAACCACTAATTGACCTAAGTTATTTAGCAGCCCATTGAGAAAATTAAAGCTCAGAGAAATAGAGGAATTTACCTAAGATCATCAAGTTAACAGATGAGAAAACTAGGACTCACATAGTGGCCATTATATTCATTAAGTAATATAATTTCATACATTAAGTATGTATGAAATTGTGCAGAATACAAAAAGTGTTTAAGATCTAAGAGCAATGATCTCTAAGCCGTAAAATAAAAACACAAAATCAAAATGTTTACAATTGTAATAAATACATTTAAATTGAAACATCAATTAGCTACAAACTCCACATATGCATATACACACATATTATATATAATATAGATACATGTATACGTGTATATGAACTTATATGTATGTATGTACACATGTATATGGGCATATACATTACAAAGGATTGAGGCAAATATTGAGCAAATGATTATTAAAGGTAAATTTTCAGAGTCTTAAGATCATGGCCTATCATTGTTGGACATTTGGGTTGGTTCCAAGTCTTTGCTATTGTGAATAATGCCGCAATAAACATACGTGTGCATGTGTCTTTATAGCAGCATGATTTATAGTCCTTTGGGTATATACCCAGTAATGGGATGGCTGGGTCAAATGGTATTTCTAGTTCTAGATCCCTGAGGAATCGCCACACTACCCTAAAACTTAAAGTATAATAATAATAAAAAAAAGATCATGGCCTATTATACAGGATTATATGCAATAAAAGCATGCCCACAGAATACTCTCCCTGAAAGTTAGAGTGTGAATATATGATGTAACCATGATTTGCATTGAGATCTTTTGGATTCCAAAGTCTAAGATTTTATCACGACACTACCCTATAAACATGGCCCACAGAAACTGTGTAACTTGGTCAAATCTTACAGCAAATTCAGAGCTAGAGAATGTGTAAAATATACATAACCCCTGCTTCCCAATAAACCCTATAAGTATAAGCTATTTGAGAAAGAATTTAAATGCCCAAGGATCACAGAATTATGAAGGTATCATGTGGCCACCTAGATAAGGGTCCTTAGCCTAGAATTCATGCAACTGTAAGGGATTTAGGGTGGCACAGAATTGTTAAAATGATATATAGCTGTATTTTGTGAAAATTTCATGTTTATGCCAATTAAAATTATAGACAACATGTTATTCTTAAAGGGAGTTATAATTGTTAAAAGTTTAAAAATTATTGATATAAACAACTTTTTAGATGACTAAGTGGAAACACAGAGAGCCAAAGTGACTGTGGAGAACCATACAACTGGATAATGGGAGAATAGTTATTAGAACATAGGTTTCTTCCTTCCTTTCCCTCCTCAACTGACCATGTCATGGTGCCATATGTATTAAGCCACACCATGAGCTTGCAAAAGCAAAGCTAATATCTCCAGAGGATGGCACATGATTATGAGAAAATGAGAAGCCTTAGTGGTCTGAGGCATCCTGATGGACTCTAGGTAACTTCCTCCTTTGCTTTCCAAAAGAGTAATAAGAAAAGCTATGTTTAATTTAATGTGGTTCCATTTGTAGAGAGAAACAATATCTGCTGCTTTATAACTTATGGTGCAAGGATAACTCAGGCCATTTTCTAAGGAAACTCAGTGAGTTAGAATCTGCTAACCTCAGTAAACAAAACCTCAGTTAGCTGTAATTAATGTTCATAGTGCATCTGCTTAATTTTCCTAATGCAATAGCCCTTTTTTCTTTTTCTTTTTTTTTTCTTTTAAAACTTCTGTAATTCTTCATGAGCTTTACTTTTGGTAATTTACAGGGAGGTTTCTTAATCTTATTTTAACATGGTATTGCAATACTAATCTGAATTTTTTTGAGGATGGAGGGATTTTAAGAAACAATTTTAAAACAAATAGGTCTATTCATCAAAATGTTCAGACTAAAACAGTTATGAATATCGTGGGAATAACTTATAAGGGAGACGACATCTTCATTATTAGTTCAGTGGTGTCTAGTTGAAAATGTCTGTATTACAGAGAAGTTGGCAGGAGCTGCTAAGAATGCTTCAGCTTGTCCACAAGTAAGAATTAATCCTAACTGATTACTGAAAACCAGAGCTTTGCACAAAATTGCCTTTTCATTCACAGTGGCATCTCAACACTGATTACGTGAAATCTGCAATGTACTTTCAAAGAAACTGCGATGATATACTTGATAAAGCATAAAAATTGATCTCTGCCACCACCACCAACCATGAAGCAGCCTACAGCATCTTGACCACTAACTGAATTGATTATTAGGGGCCAGACAGTCTTCTAAATACATTGCATACATTAATTTATGTAATCTTCATGGGATTGCTATTATATAGATGCTATTACTCAATATATCTACATTATAGCAATGGTATTTCATAGATATTTTCATAGATGAATAAATTTGCATTTCAGGAGAATTAAAAATTTGATCGTTTCACAGAATGATTAAGGGAAGAAAGTCTGGATTTGACCTCAAATTACCTTGATTCCAAAGCTAGTTCCATTAACTATCAAGTTACATTGTTTCCCATTCTGATAGCAATAATGCATAGGCTAATGGATACATTTTTTATAATGATCAAAAAATTACAGTGAAAGAAAAAAAGGGTGGGAAAAAGAGAAAATGGAGGGAGTGAGTGAAGAATGGAAGAGACAAAAGAAGAAACAAATAATTTAGAAATAGAAAATCTACAATCAGAGGAGAAGACATTGAAGATAAAAATGAACAGCAAAGTAAGAGTAGACTTTCTGTTGCAATGGAGGTTTGGGAAAAGAAGGTAAAATATATCTGCATATAATACTTGCAAATAAAGATCTGTAGGGATAGCAGGAATTCCTCATGCCAGTGAAGTAGGTGCCCAGCAGGAGGAAGCTGACTCGCACTCCTTACGTCAGAGCGTTCTGGCCTAATCCAGCGAATTCTGACATCAAGCTCCCCTGAGCAGAGTCTGAACCATTTAACCTAGCATGGTGAGAGAGTCTATTTGGTGATCTTTATTGCTGCAAATAGGGGTCTTTTTTGGGAAAATGTACGATGTGTAAAAAATATAATTACCTTATGACTCTACATTGAATGCATACATTATTCTCTCTCTAGGATCAAATCCACTAAGAGAATCAAGAACTGCTGCACAGAAACCTTTGATAGCCAATGTCCTAATACGAAGAAGAAGTAAATGAACAGAAGGAGACATAGACTCAAAGCTCTCGCAAAATTGAACAATATATCAAGGCCCTACATTGACCAAACATTAACATTAAAAGAGCCTCTGCATGTCAGCATTCCAGCCAGCCCAAATCGTCAAAGAGCAAGAAAGCAATGCTGAAGAACAATGTGAAGGAATCATTACATACTGTTTGAATAGTTTCCTAAATTCACTCAGTGCTCTATCTATTATTAGCTATAGCACAGAGAACTCGTTTCCTATTACAGATGGTAGAGAATTTCTAGTTTGCATAAAATCAACATCCTCTAAAGTCCTGAAAAAAACATATGTTTGCAGACGCTTACCCAAAGATAGCAACAGAACATTCATTATTCATTAGCTGTTTCATTTCAAATTTTTTATGATCTATTTGCCATATTTCACTGAGTCTAAGATCTTGTGGACAAAGTCGATAGGTACTCTCTTTGTAACACAGTTAAGATCAGACTTTAAGATAGCATGTTGTGTTGCTACATGTAAGAGTTCTGTAATCTAATGCAATAGATGACAAATATTGGAAGCTAAGCATATGTGTTATTTTTCTGCATTTGTCAATTACTATTTTAGAGGAAATATTTAGGCTTTCCTTGCTCATGTTCCTGACTTGGTCCACAGAGAACAAATGTCCACAAATAATCTTGTCTTTACGGGAATATTAGAAAGAAACAAATAACTTCTTTTTCATTTTATAGCTTTAAAAGCACAAGAAGAGGGAGGGTACTACTTCATTCTCCATGCATGGCTTGAATCAAGCTGGTTTACGGATCTCTGCATTGCACATTAGGAGCATCATATATTGGTCAGAATCCTGATGGTGAAGTGAACAATACAAATTCAGGCCCCAGGCCTCACTCTCACACCTGACAATTCTGTGTATTTTGAAGCACTCCGAAATCTTTATGAGGGCAGACTTGCCCCATACTATTATCAGGGAAGACTTATCTTGCTTCTGGGTGCAAAAATAGTTGTAAACTGTCAAAGCTATTTATCTTCTCATGTCAACTCCCTGCTCATTATTAGGGGTTCAGGGAAATGTCATTTCTACTGAGAAATGGTTTTTACAACCCAAATCCAAATCCAATGCTCCTTTTTCTGTGATCCCTTAACAATTTTAATCTTATTATAGCACTTATCACAGCCTACCAGATAGTTATTAAAATTATTTGAGCATGCATCTTGCTCATGGACTAGAAGTGAATCCCTAGTGGTTAGAGATTAGGTAACACTTATTCATGTAGCCTCCCACTTCTTATAAAGTACATCACGTTTGAAAAGTATGGAAAGACTTCAATCTTTAAGGCTTATATTTTTTATTCTAGTTCGGAAAAGACAGTGTGCCCAACATCAGTAAGTCAGGTATTCTGGAGATATTTGCTACATAGTCACAAATATATCTATCCATTATCATATGCACACATACATATACACAAACATACATATATACGTTTGTGCATGTGTCAAATACACACACAAACACATAATCACAAATACAACACTACAGGTATCTTCCCTTTTCTTTTCACAATTGTTGCTAGTAACTCAACCTCTATTTCTTAATAGAAATTTAGACTACTTAAGGAAAGAAAATTGTAGAGATCATAGAGATCTACCAAGACCATTAGTATCATAGCACATGGTACAGAAAAAAGAATTTGTGTTACCGGTCAACAGTGCTGGCTCATCATAAAGGCACAAAGACAATTTGCTGAGCTGAGCTGAGCTTGGTTTCAATGCTATTACTTCAATTCATTTTCCCCTAAAGATAGGGCTGTTTTTTTGCCTCTTTCAATTGAACTTATGTACATAGAGAGTAGAAAAATGGTTACCAGAGGCTGGGAAGGGAAGTGGGGGCACTGGGAAGGGGAGGCACAAATGATTAATGGGTACAAAAACAAAATAGAAAGAGTGAATAAGACCTACTATTTGATAGCACAACAGGTTGACTATAGTCAAGAATAACTTAATTGTATATTTTTAAATAACTTAAAAATGCAATTGGATTGTTTGTAACTCAAAGGATAAATGTTTGATGGAATGGATACCCCATTTTCCTGGATGTGCTTATTTTATATTGCATGCGTGTATCAAAACATCTCATGACACCATAAATATATATACCTACTCTGTACCCACAAAAAGTCTTAAAAATAATTTTTAAAAAATTTTAAAAGCTTTGCTTCAATTACTCTTGAATGCTTGGTTCTGGCACCGCCTACTTCTTGTGGGCATAGTGCCCACTGCACGTGTTCAAGTGAGCTGCACTCATCCATCTTTCACTAGGGCTGATTCATAGGGTGGCCAGAACCAATTTAGAACCATAGCTTGCTGCTTACATAAATCAATGAAATCGTATGAAACACAATATAACATGGTTTCATTGAAAGAGCACAGGTGTCAAAAGGATGTGAGTTTACATATTACATAACTTAATATTTATTTGAACTTGGACTGGTCACTTAGCCTGGTTGAACTTCAAATCCTTTATTGGTGAAATGAGCATCCACTCATAAAATTTCATTAACTTACTTCATAGGATTGCTACCTTGTATAATTTTATACACTATGAATTCTCATACAAAAGTCAGTGATACCAGATCGCACAATTTAAAATTTATAGGCAGACACTTCACTACTTTTTCTTCCCTTCACTGTGAAGTAACACATGATATCACCTTGGTGGCACTCGCAAGGTATTTGTTGGCTGGCTGTTTTATTGTGGTTCTTCCTGCCACTCAAGTGCTCATGACTGAGAAGAAATCAATGGGTGTCTGTTGGCAGTGTTTTGAAAGACATATTCCTTAGGTAATAGAGGTAGTCACTCATAAAAAAAAAAAATTTCTGGATATTAGTCTGCCCTCGTGGATATCTCAGGGCCTCATACTTCATCAGGCAATGGCCAGTTCATTTTTTTAATCCAAAGCTACACAGAGAGAAACACTTCATTCTGTGTGTGTTTTAAAAGCCCAGGTAGCACTAAATACCATTTCCCAGGAAGTGTGCCAAGTACTTTGGAGAATGTACATTGAACTTTTCATTAGAAAAGCTTCCCAAATGGGTAAGAGTTATCTGACAGAAAATAGTTTCATATCTCACTACACCTTTAAGTGTGATTACACAAACCAGCTTGGAAGAATACCAGGCAGCACCTGGCTGTTCTCACCTTGACTCTACCATTAGCTAACAATCAAAACCACAATGAGATACCATCTCACACCTGTTAGAATGTCAATCATTAAAAAGTCAGGAAACAACAGGTGCTGGAGAGGATGTGGAGAAATAGGAACACTTTGACACTGTTGGTGGGACTGTAAACTAGTTCAACCATTGTGGAAGTCAGTGTGGCGATTCCTCAGGGATCTAGAACTAGAAATACCATTTGACCCAGCCATCCCATTACTGGGTATATACCCAAAGGACTATAAATCATGCTGCTATAAAGACACATGCACACATATGTTTATTGTGGCATTATTCACAATAGCAAAGACTTGGAACCAACCCAAATGTCCAACAATGATAGACTGGATTAAGAAAATGTGGCCCATATACACCATGGAATACTATGCAGCCATAAAAAATGATGAGTTCATGTCCTTTGTAGGGACATGGATGAAATTGGAAATCATCATTCTCAGGAAACTATCGCAAGAACAAAAAAACAAACACCGCATATTCTCACTCATAGGTGGGAATTGAACAATGAGAACACATGGACACAGGAAGGGGAATGTCACACTCTGGGGACTGTTGTGGGGTTGGGGGAGTGGGGAGGGATAGCATTAGGAGATATACCTAATGCTAGATGACGAGTTAGTGGGTGCAGCGCACCAGCATGGCACATGTATACATGTGTAACTAACCTGCACATTGTGCACATGTACCCTAAAACTTAAAGTATAATAATAATAAATAAAATAAAATAAATAAAATAAAATAAAAAATGTGAGTTAGGGGGCATGTCATTTAACCTCATTGCTTTTGTTTTCTCTCCTGATCTAGAAGGCATGATATATTTGCCAGCTGAGGTCCTCCCTGTTTCTAAAAGTGATCAAATGTGGTTTTTAGTAGAGCAGATTGCAGATATTGAAACAATCAAAACCCAGTTGGAAGGAAAGAGAAGATTTCAGTCATCTACAGGGGAAAAAACACTATATTCAAAAATTTATTTTAGTGCTGAGCTTTCTAGTGTTAAGGTAGAACTAACTAAATACATGTAAATTATATCTATATATAAATATGTTATAAAATATATAGAACCATTATATATGTTTTGTATTACACATATATTTATTTATATATACCATAAAACATATTTGTGCTTATCTATAACACATAACATATATAATATACATTCATCTTTCATATTTATTATATATACATCATACATATATGTACATATTATGTGCATGGAAATAACGGTTTTTCACATAGAGAGATATTTTCATAAAATTTTCAAAAGTAATTTTTATGCTGACATGTCTTTATATAAGGACTTGGAATAACAATATTCCTATTGTCTTTAATAATAGTCTTATAGAAAGAAATTAATAGTACATTTCCAATATTTTGTGGTGGTGGTATTTGCTAACCAATGCAAAATCCTCTATATACACTGTCTGTTGTTATTTAAGTAGCCCTGAAAAGTAATTCTTATCTGCTGTTTGAGAAAGGATGAAACTAGCATTTAGAGAAGTCGAGTGATTTTCTTATTGTCAATTAGCAAGTATAACAGTAAGCCATTATGATGTGGCTGTTTCTACACATCTGGGTGTACTTTAGTGGGCATGCTTCTTTTGTGAGGCCAAGTCAATAAAGACCATGTTGGCTCCTGAAATTTAGTGTATGCATACTAAGGTCTACCTCTAGTGGGATAGGATAAAACAGTCAGGAAGATATTTTCCTAAAGTAAATACTGCTTCCACTCAGTTTTTCATTGCAAACTGGATAATAGCCATCTGCAGATAAAATTTTTGATGGGAGTACATGATGAGAGTACTTTAAATTGTTTGTAGAAAGAAAAGCTATATACTTTAACTACCAAATACAAGTAGCAAGGCTAGCACTATCATTAACACCAAGAAGCTTTCTTCATATTCTCTCATTTATGACTACACAGAGGTACATATAAGAATAAATTTGATGAGCTCTCAAGTCCTTCCAAACTTTAACATTCTGTCACCATAGAACAAACTATATATAAACTAAGCAAACGTTTGACTCCATTAAAAATAAGAAATTCATCAGTGCATCCTTGTTCTGGTATGACCCTCAGACCACCAAGGTTTAACTAATGGACTTCTGAGTATTACCTTGGCTCTAGTCTGTAGCAATGCTCAATGAATAAAAGATAAGTAGGCTCTTCTGTTAATACTAGTTTATGCCCTACAAAATAAACTTTATTGAGAATGTCATTCTTGAGACAGACTCATTCAACAAAATTAAAAAACAAACAAGGCATAGCATAATGTACAGAAGTTGAAAGCTGGCCTTCAGCACACCTCCTCCTTCCACCAGCTACTGTGTTTTACTTCTCTCCACAGGTGTAATGAAAATGCCTCTTACCATTTATCAAATAAATACCTACTCTGCTCTCAGTACTTGATACCTATGACTTAATCCTTCCAACAACCTTTCAAGAGAAGAATGATAATTCCCACTTATAAAAAAGGAAGCAGAAGCTGACTGGCCAAGGTAACAGAGCTACTAACGGCAGACCCAGGATTTCAGTCCAAGTGTATCTGATTCCAAGCTTGAACCCTTTAACACAATATGCTTCTTCTCACAAGTACTATATCAGATGCACTGTTGTTTCCTGTTATTTGTTGAGTACTCACCATAGAGTTTCTATTCCAGAAGGAAAATAAGAGATTTAGAAGAAAAGCTACAGAATGTTTGGTTTTCAGTTCCTAAAAAGAAAGGGTCATAGGTGAACAAAGCATTTAGATAAAAGTCTAGGTCAATATGCCCATCACTAGCACTTTGTTTTTACTTCTTACAACCTCTTTCTCCAGTGCCTCCCTCCTACTCTTCCAGTTGTATATCCACGGCTTGGCACATGATAGGCCCTTTAAATAAAATTACTTAAACTATCTGCCTCAATTTCCTCATCTATAAAATAGGATAATTTAAATTTCAGGTTTGTTGCATGGATGAAATCAGTACAATACAGCATCTGACACAATATATGGCACACAATTATCTAATAAAGGGTAGTTATTGTTGCCATTGTCATTACAGATTTGTTGAATGATTTAGTGAATGAAGCTCACATTCAGGGCACATGTAGTGTCTATAGGCCAAATAGTTGTGCTTAACACCAAGCAGTATCTGTGTACCAAATCCAACCCCCAGAATAGAGCCTTGCCCCTCAGAAACAAGACACTTTTCAGTAATTATGTTATCAGTGATGCAATAATATGTGAAATGTACTGTGGCGAGATCCCTCAGTCATTGTTCTTTTCAACATCATATCAGTACAAAGGCAGCTGATGCCATTTGCTGGGCTTAATATTTCTGCCCCTTCAGTTACTATTTCATTAAAAAACACATTTATTTGTTCTAACATTGTTTTATTCAATATTTTTAAAAATTTATTCTACTATGTCTTGGACATTTATCTATCTACTATCTATCCCAAATGCTATGAGAGGCACTGGGATATGGAAATTAAAGACCTGTCCTTGAAGAACATTTAGTTCTGTGAAAAAATGGTCATACAATGCAATAGGGACTAGAGAGGAGGGGCTAATACAAACCATGGTGATGGGGGATAGTGGGAAGTTATGGGATTATGGGATTACATAAAAGGTTAGGCTTCCTAAAAGAGTGCCCGGAATTTTGAAGGATAAATAAGAATAATAATATTTTTAAATAAACTTTTCATTTCAGAATAGTTGTAGATTTATAGAACCACTGTAAATATTGCACAGAAAGTCCCTATATACTGCATACCCACATTTTCCCGTTAACATCTTGCTTTAATATGGTTCATTTGTCACGAAGAGTAAACTAATATTGATACATTCTTACTAACTAAAGCCCATAGTTAGTTCAGACTTCCTTAGTGTCTTCCTAGTATCCTTTTTCTTATCTGAGATCACATCCAGGTTACCACACTAGATTTAGCTGTCCTGCCTCCTTAGGCTCCTCAAAACTGTGACTGATTGTCATGTTTTTATTGTTTTAGATCACCTTGACAGTTTTGAGGAGCATGAAGTGGGTATTTTGTAGAATGTCCTTCCATTGGGATATGTCTGATGTTTTTCTCTCAGATTACATTGGGGTTGTATGTTTTTGGGAGGAAGATCACAGAAGAAAGTGCCGTTCTTATTTGCATCATATCGAGGGTATGTGCTGTCATCATACCCTTATCACTGTTTGTGTTACACTTGATCACCTGGTCTTAGTGTTTGTCAGCTTTTTCCACCATTCCATACTGTCTAGGCTTTGTACAGAAAAATGTCATATCAAGAACAAACCCTTTCAGCTGGGCATGGTGGCTCACACCTGTAATCCCAGCACTTTGAGAGCCTAAGGCAGGTAGATCACCTGAGGTCAGGAGTTCAAGACCAGCCTGACCAACGTGATGAAACCCCATCACTACTAAAAATATAAAAAAAAAAAAAATTAGCTGGTCTTGGTGGTGGGTGCCTGTAATCCCAGCTACCCAGGAGGTTGAGGCATGAGAATCACTTGAGCCCTAGAGGTAGAGACTTCAGTGAGCCGAGAATACACCGCCACTACAATCCAGCATGGGCGACAGAGCAAAACTCTCTCAAACAACAACAACAACAACAAACATACCCTTTCATCTCCAATACTTCCCAAATTTCGGAGTGGAAAGATTATTTCTGATGCCAGAACCTGTAGAAAAGTTTCTGCTATAAAACAGGAAGACAAATCAGGCAGCTTTGGTTTAATCATTCATATGATTCCATTAAAGAGGCTGTACTGCCTGAGAGATGTGGCATGGCTCTGGAGGCCCCTCTTATTATGATTTTCTTCACACATGCAAAGAGCTCTGTTTTATGGGCTGCAGCTGCAGCAACCATTAGGAAGTGCCTCATAATCTCAACAGTGCAAAATCTGGGCAGGGACAGGGTGAGTTCAGCCATGCATGGTTTATGGAAGGTCAGGGAGGTAAGCCAAAGCATTACCAATTGTTAATTCTCACTATTCCAGGTGCTGAATATACCTTATCTAATTTAATTTAACCCACATAATTACCATGTGAGTTAAGCATTTCCGGTCCTATTTATAGTGCACAAGTGAAAGTCTCAGATAACACAAAATAGTAAGTGCAGAATTGGAATTTAAGCCCAGGTGTTTGGACTTCCAATCTCATGTTTATGGCATCAAAAGACATTTTAGCAACAATCCAACATTAACAATATGTCACATCCATTTTCCACCACAGATTGTTCAGAGCATGCTCACTTACAGGAAACATTCTTAAGCTAAGTCTTCATCTTTCCTGTAATGGGAGAAATAGTAGAAGTCCATACTAAGAATGTGGACCACAGTAGAATTTAGTGATAGACTGTTGGAATTACTAAAGATCAGTGGGTGCTGACAGTCAGAGAATTAAAACTATAACACTGTTAGAGGAGTAAAAACAAGCCAAATTATGGCCATGATGGTCCTCATTCAATTACACTAGTAGGTAGCCCACTTAAAAAACTCCATATAATCTGGTCTACATGTCCTAGACACAGAACTGAAGGAACCATCGATTCCAGCTTCATGCTTATCTGGTTTTTGATGAATTAATGATCCCTTATCCCTGTGAGACCATTCATTACATATTATTCTATGTTAAAAATAATAAGTGTGACATACATTTACGCAATATATACTATGTGCCAAGCATGATCCTTAGGGCTGTATTAATCATTATCTCATTTAATGCTCAAATATCCTTCTATGTAATCACAGTGAATCTTATTTGGCAGGAAAAAGAAAAAACTGGCTTAGTGAGATTAGTGCTTTCTCATGGTGGCAGAATTAGGACTCAAATCCAGGATATTCTGTGGCTATTTCCTTTCCAATACCCTGTGAGAGTCTCCATGAAGAAGGATAAATAATACATTTGACCACAGTCCCCTCATTTCACCGTCTAAATTCCAGGTCATAGTTATCTTCATACAACTTCATTAGTGAATACTGAATGGATTTGTTATTACAACAGTCTGATACTCAATATTTTGAAGCTAATGAAAAAAAGAACAGAAGGGATTCAGTGGATCTTTGGAGTCCTGGAAAAAAGAAAAAGCTTTATGAAGTTCCTCACAAGTCCTCTGCTTCCCTCAATATAATAAACAGAAAGCAAAATATGCAGGAAGAAATAAAAAAGAAAATATCACTAACAAGGTCACTCCATCACCTGCACAAGCCTCTTTAAAATCAGCCCATGGCCAAGGTTCCTGCTGTCAGCTCACTGGACTGGGAACTCATTGGATAACTGCTTCCTTAATCCTATCTTTCTGCTTCCTTGATTCTCAAGGAAGTTTCCAAAAGCTGGGGATGCATATACCAAAATTATTGGGAGAACTGGTGGTATGCAAGGTTGCAGTATTCATTTCAACTCAAGAAAATGATTAACTGCACAGCTCAGTACAATTTTGAGAAGTTTTCAAGTGCAGGCAGTCAGTACTGAAAAACTGCAGCTCAAATTCCCATGATCCCTTGAAAAAAATGGAGACAGATATGTTAAAAGGGGAAAAATCATGTGAAGATGGCTGGTAGAGCTAAGAAATGCAATTTTTAGAATTGGAAAGAATTGAGTTTTAAACTCTAGACTCTATATTTTTTGGGCATGTCACTTAAGTTGTCAGAGTCTCAGTTTGTCTATGATGGGGTTATAATGTCTTCCTCACAATGTTACTCACTCTTTAAGTCATTCACTCATTCAAAAGTATTTTTTTCCATAGATATTATGTACCAGGCTGCCCCTGACATTTGGGATACAACTGTTAATATATTAGACAAAGTCTATCTCATGGATTTGGGAAAGGGGCAGACAATAAACAAGAGAACGAGTTAAACCACATGAGAATTTGAGATGATAACAAACGTTCTTAACAAAACACAACAGAGTTTTGTGATAGATCGTATCCTGGGAGGGGCTGGTGAAATATTTTTCCCCAGCATATCACATGGGGCCTGGTTTATAGCAGTTATTCCATTTACATTTTAACTAAACACACGCCTGGACTCTAGTAAGTGCTCATTTCACGCATTTTCTTTCTATACTTGTGAAAGCTGATTTTTATAGCCTAAAGGAGCCAATATTCACTATACACACTAACCGTAACTTCAACTATTTTGATATTATAGAACCTTTACTCCATATTCATCATATACCAACTATTTAAATATGAATATGATCCACCACAAGGTAGGAGTTATGCAAGATTAAAAATAAAAGAATAGGCTGGGTGCGGTGGCTCACGTCTGTAATCCCAGCACTTTGGGAGGCCAAGGGGGGCAGGTCACAAGATCAGGAGCTCGAGACCAGCCTGGCCAATATGGTGAAACTCCGTCCCTACTAAAAACACACACAAAAAAAAAATAGCCGGACGTTGTGGCACATGCCTGCAATCCCAGCTACTCTGGAGGTAGAGGCAGGAGAATTGCTTAAACCTGGGAGGCGGGGATTGCAGTGAGCCAAGATCGTGCCACTGCACTCCAGCCTGGGCGACAGAGGGAGACTCCATCTCAAATAAATAGACAGACAGACAGACAGAGAGACAGATAGATCGATGAAGAGTATTTTACTCTTTTTTTACTTTCCTTACTAGTCTGGCCTGGGAGGTAAAATGTGCTCAAATAGAACTGCAATAAATGACAGTGCATTATAAGGTCCCTTAGTATAAAATGTTTTCTGTGTCAAGAAGTGGATCACTTATCAGGGGGCTAGAGGAGGGTTCAAGCAGGAAATGGGTTTTGAACTAGGTCTTAGATTTAAAAATGAAAATGCAGGAGCAAATGCTTTGTAGGAAATCTGTTTAAAATGTCTCATCCCCAGAGTTTCTGATTCACAAAATCTGGGGTGGGTCCCAAGAATGTGTATTTCTGACACATTCCCAGGTAATTTTCATGCATGTTTCCAGCTATGTTTTTTCCAAACAGTGATGTATTATACTTGGAAAGTTACTGTATCACTGCACCCTCCTGTACTATTATGGGGCATGAATGAAGTATATGCAAAGTGTGTGTGTGTGTGTGTGTGTGTGTGCGCGCGCGCGCATGCACACGTGCGTTCATTGTGTGGGTATATGGAGAATATCAGAATAATGATGAAGAATGTTTCATACACCATCAGGGGAAATTGTTATCCCTTTCTTTTGTCTCTGCTTTCCATCTTACACAACGTGACCCCCAAACGCTCTTCTTCTGCTCTCTTCTCCATACTTCCCAGACGCATCCTACCTATTATAATGTTAAATCAATGGAGTATTGCTATCAAGTTGAGATTAAAAACTGCTGGGGTCCTTAGAACCTCTGTAGTCTCAAAGTAATACAGAGTAGATCACAACTCTAGTCCCAGACATACCAGGGTCTTTCCTTGTCCAGCCATGTGTGTTCATCATTTCCTTAGTATTTTACCTTACAGTGGGTCAGTTAAGAAATTTTAAGGCCAGGGGCTGTGGCTCACGCCTGTAATCCCAGCACTTTGGGAGGCCGAGGCAGGTGGATCATGAGGTCAGGTGTTCAATACCAGCCTGGCCAACATAGCAAAACCCCGTCTCTACTAAAAATAAATAAATAAATAAAAATATTCAGGCATAGTGGCGCATGTCTGCAGTCCGAGGTACTTGGGAGGCTGAGGTAGGAGAATTGCTTGAACCCAGGAGGTGGAGGTTGCAGTGAGCCAAGATCACACCACTGCACTGCAGCTTGGGCAACAGAGTGAGACTTCATCTCTAAATAAATAAATAAAATAAATTTTAAAATAATGATCTTAATATTAAAGTTGTCCATCAGAGGCCAGGCACAGTGGCTCATGCCTGTAATCCCAGCAGTTTGGGAGATGGATCACCTGAAGTCAGGAATTCAAGACCAGCCTGGCCAACGTGATAAAACCCCATCTGTACTAAAAATACAAAAATTAGTCGGGCGTGGTGCACATCTATAATCCCAGCTACTCGGGAGGCTGAGGCAGGACAATCATTTGAACCTGGGAGGCAGAGGTTGCAATGAGTTGATATCTCCATGGCACTCCAGCCTGGAGGACAGAGTGAGACTCTATCTTAATAAATAAATAATAAAGTTATTCATCAGATACCAAGTATCTTTTTTAATCCCAAAGATACTCATTGAAAGATTGCATAAATACAGGTTCAGACAGCTAGCCCTGCCATGCCAGAGATACTGAGGAGAGTATGCCTAATGATCCCTCAACTGCACCATCACTAAATTATCTGCAGCCTCCTTTAATTTCAGACTCTTAAATCAGGATCTTCATAGCAAAAATAATTATGGTCATCTACCAAATTAACGAAGAAGCTTATTTTGGCATTAAATTCATTTTTAATGTGCTTCAAATAATAGAGTTTTTCAATTGAGGTAGAGCTTATTAAACATAAAATACTGGCAGGGATGTTTATGTATATTGTATCGCCTCTTTAGCTCAAAGATCTCAAGATCAAAATAACAGAAAATATATGTATTCTATTACAATATATTATGGCCAAAAATGTTGGGGAAACAAATATTTTCTACTTTGTCTAACTTTCAATGACATATTTTCAATTCTTATGTTTATTACTGGAAAAAACATATCTAATACCTTGGCCAATAAGCTTGAAGTATGAATCAAGGTTTGCAGTATAATATTGGACCTTCACAGTCTGCTAACAAATTATCTACACCTTGGCCCAGACTTGCTTCATAGTAGACTCTCTAAATAACCATAACTGACTGTTAAACAAGTGAATATCTCAAAGGACAGGTAATCAAATGAGCTCTACACCACTAATAGACAATTTTTCCACTAAAAAAGATTTATTTATATCTTCTTAATGTCCGCCTCGAGCCACAAATCTATAAAATGTTAGTTAGCAGGAGAAGCTGAAAATTAGGTGTGGTAAGAATGAAATCTAGAAAGTCATCTTCACGTTATATTGGCTTCATTTTTTCTTCTGTATCTTGTAATGTGAGGATGTGGGAGTAGTGGCATAAGGAAAAAAATGTTATGAACCATCCTTTTCTAGTCCGAAAAGAAAACCTCCATTTGTTTCTCTAACTACCAGGAAGCAACCTTAACTCTGTTCAAGAGATATCACTAGACTGGATTTGCTCTGGTGGCTGACAATAAATTGTAAGCTCAGTGGCTCAGATGGACAGCAAACTTATGTTTGGAAGTTGCTAAGGATGGCAACAAGAGACAACATGAAAAGGTAAAGATAGGTCATATTGCTAAAGACTTCAGTGAGAGTGAAAATACTCTACACTCTTTATAAAGGAGCATGCAATAATAGGAACTACACAATAACCTGGAAGTGATCTACGCTTACAAAATGCATCAGATGGAATTGAAAACATGTTCATGATATATTATTATTGTTTTTTAAATTAAGTCAGAAAAGAAGGTGCAAAAATCAATCTTAATTTTTGTTCAAATATGATTTAATAAAATATAAAGATAGAGAGGGAAGGAGGAAAAGAAATGGATTGTGAAAAGTTATGCTGGCAAGGTTGCATAGAAAAAAGAATACTTGACATTGCTGGTAGGGATATAAATTTGTTTAGCTGCTATGCAAAACAGTTTGGTGATTTCTCAAAGTACTTAAAACAGTACTACCATTCAACCCAGCAATCCTGTCACTGGTTATACAACCAAAGGAATATAAATTGTTTTACCATAAAGATGCATTCATGCATATGTTCATCACAGCACTATTCACAATAGCAAAGACATAGTATCAACTTAGATGTTCATCAACTGTGGACTAGATTTTAAAAATGTGGTACATATACACAGTGAAATACTACACAGCCATAAAAAAAAACAAAATCATGCCCTTTTTGGCAACACACATTTTCCTAAGCAAATTAACTCAAGAATAGAAAAATACCACATGTTCTCACTTGTAAGGATGAGCTAAATATTGAAAGCAAATGGACACAAAGAAGGGAACAATAGACCCTGGGGACTACTTGAGGGTGGAGGGTAGGAGGAGGGAGAGAATAAAAATCTACCCACTGGGTACTACGCACATTACACAGGCGACAAAATAATCTGTACACTAAACACCCACAACACACAATTTACCCATGTAACAAGCCTGCACATGTACCCCCTGAACCTAAAGTAAAACTAAAGGGGAAAAAATTTAGAGAAAAATTAGAAAATTTAATGTGAAACTGCCAATAGTAGTTGACTCCATGAGTAGAATTGAGGGTCAGGGTTTCATACAGACACTTTATACTTCTTTAGCATCTGCATTTGGAACACTGAATATAGATAGCATGGTGTAATAGAAAGAGTCTTTGGAGTCAGAAATATCTAAAGTAAAATTTTGTCTCAAGTTTACTGTGACTTTGTAATATTACTTATTTTCTCTGTACCTTAGTTTCCTTGGTTCCTATAAAAGACAACTATATCTGCATTGTAAGACAATGTGAAAATAAAATGAGATTCTATATATGAAAATACTAACACATGAGAGTCATTCAGTGTATGCAATCTACTATTATTTCTCATATTCTAAGCCCTGCTGGAAGGAAGGAAAAGGAATATATTAGATTAATCACTCTTTCTTTACCTTTAAATGGAATACTTTTAAGAAAAGAGAACTCCATAGGGCAACAGGGAAAGTCAACCTGGAAAATTAATCTTATGACTAGTTATTTCTGTCTTCTCACAGTATTTCACAACCTATTGAACTCATATGTTTTAAGTAACCCATGTGACAAAGTAGAGGTGTTGAAGTAAGGAATGGTCAAATGATTGTACATGGGACAGAAGAAAAAGGGCTTCACCCCACCTTCTCAAGAGACAGAGACAAGTTTTTCTTTCCAGGTGTTTGCCTTCTCTTTTATATTGGATGCTTACTCACTGGCCACCCCCACAAAGCCGTACCACATTTTCTTTCTTTCTTTTTTTTTTTTTGAGATGGAGTCTCCCTCTGTTGCCAGGCTGGAGTGCAGTGGCACAATTTCAGCTCACTCTGCCTCCTGGGTTCAAACGATTCTCTGGCCTCAGCCTCCTGGGTTCAAACGATTCTCCACCTCCTGGGTTCAAATGATTCTCTGGCGTCAGCCTCCCAAGTAACTGAGACTACAGGTGCATGCCACCACATCCAACAAATTTTTGTATTTTTGGTAGAGACAAGGTTTCACCATGTTGGACAGGGTGGTCTCGATCTCTTGACTTCGTGATCCGCACTCCTCAGACTTCCAAAGTGCTGGGATTATAGACGTGAGCCACTGCGCCTGGCCGGCATTTTCTTACTCACTCAAATATTTTTCAAAGCCTGAAGGAATTAGTTACTAAGTTACAGTGCCAAACAGGCTACTGAAACAAGGAAGACTAGGAAGTTTGGTTTATTAGATAAATATAGTTTATGACAAAGTTTCTGATTTTCACACTTCGACATTAAGTAAAAAATCCTAACCCTGGGGTTGCAGTACTGACCAAGCTCTCATAAATTAGTCACCCTGGTCTAGTCTACAAAATAGGACCGTGACATCTAAATCCTGAAAGGAAACACTTTCATATTATTTAGCACTTCTGTTTTCATTAGGACATATGAACATATTTAAATTCAACATTGAGTAAATATAATTCAGTATGTATTTATTTGACCTCCATGTACTCAGAACTATGGCAACTGCTATGAACAATGTCAAAGAAATTTAATATCACTGCTATGGTCTGAATATCCTCTCCAAAACACATGTTGAAATTTGCCCTTGTGGTGGTGGGAATTTGGGAGGTGATGGGGCCATCAGGGCTCTCCCCTCATTTGTAGAATTAATGCCATTTTAAAAGAATGAATTAGGCTCCCATTTGCCCTCTTTTCCTTGGATCTTCTGCCATGTGAGATGAAGTATTTCTTCCTCCAGGAGGACAACACAGCATTCAAGGCACTATCTTAGAATCATCAAATCTGCCAGCATCTTGCTACTGGACTTTCCAGCCAACAGAATTGTGAGCCAATACGTTTCCATTTATAAATAATCCAGTCTGTGGTAGTCTGGTATGGCAGCACAAAACAAACTAAGACAAACCCTTACTACAAGAAGCCTACATCCTCGTTAATTATAACTAACATCCACGCAGCACTTATCTCAATTTTTATTATCTGTTTTTTAACAATTTAAGTATCAAATTTTGGCAGACATGGTGGCTCGTGCCTGTAATGCCAACACTTTGGGAGGCCAAGGTAGGAGGATCACTTGTGTCCAGGAGTTTGAGGCCAGCCTTGGCAATATAGTGAGACTATGTGTCTACAAAAAATGAAAATAAAAAATCAGCCAGGAGTGGTGGTGTGCACCTCTAGTTCTAGATCAGGGACTGAGAAAGAGGCTGACACAGGAAGATGACTTGAGCCTGAGAGGTCGAGGCTGCCGTGAGCCATGATCATGCCACTGTACTCAGCCTGAGTGACAGAATAAGACCTTGTCAGAAAGACAAAAACAAATCCAGAACACATTTGAAGTACTATAATTTTTAGCCATACATCACATGACGAAAGTGTTTGGTAACCCTTAATAAACACACAATGTAATGATCTTAAAAAGGAAAGATGCCTCAGTACATCTCTAAAAGAATTGGTTGATTTCATTTTGTTAGTAATAGAAAATTAAATTAACCTTTTCTGCTTTTTAATTATACTTTAAGTTCTGGAGTACATGTGCAGAACATGAAGGTTTGTTACATAGGTATACACACACGTGCCATGGTGGTTTGCTGCACCCGTCAATCCATCATCTACATTAGGTATTTTTCCTAATGCTATCCCTCCCCCAGCCCCCTACCCCCCTACAGACCCTCCTTGTTCTCCTTCCCATGTCCACGTGTTCTCATTGATCAACTCCCACTTATGAGTGAGAACATGAATTGTTTGGTTTTCTGTTCTTGTGTTAGTTTGCTGAGAATGATGGTTTCCAGCATCATCCATGTCCCTGCAAAGGACATGAACTCATCTTTTTTATGGCTGCATAGTATTCCATGGTTTATATGTGCCACATTTTCCTTATCCAGTCTATCACTGATGGGCATTTTTCTAACCAAAACATTATAGAATTTGTAATGCAAATAAGCTTAACATGTTAATGAGAAAAGGAAAACTACAAGTTATCTGGTAGAAACACTGTTAAAAAACTTCTTGGATTATTCTGTCAGTATAATATTTGAAGGAATCACTCAATACAATAGGAAATAAGCTGTGATAATTAGTGACATAACAAAGTCAGATAAATTAACTCAGCCATACTTAGTGAGAAGGTTGATAGAAAACTTAAGTCTCCTTAATACTAGTGCTTCGTTCTTCAGATTCTGGTATAATTTGATAGCAGGACATATACATATGTATAGCATATATTTCAATAAATCTATAGAATGCTTTTCTAGTTTTCTATCACAAGCACTCTGAACATTAACATTACACATGTTAAAGTTTAAGCATTGAGTTTATTGAGGCTTTCTTCAAGTTTTCTTAACACAAGAATGCTGTATACTTGATTATTCCAGATGCATCCCTAATGAGATTTTACAGGAGTCATTGTGGTTGCGCATGGTAAGGATGAGGTCTACTGAAACTTTTTATTTCCTAAATGCCTTATATTAAAAAGTCCTTACATCTCTTATTCAAGATTTCCTACTAAATTGTTTACAAAACTTCCTTGCTGAATAATCACAGTAAGGTGGTTAGCTGGGTAGTAGACACTAAGGAATGCTGGGTTTCCGGGGAAACAGTGCCACGGGAAGCAACAAAAGAGACAACAAAAACTGTAGATGTTATATTACACAATATTTTTTTTTTTACTCCTGTTATATTGTTATACATTGTTATTCTTGCATTTTCCTTCTTTCTGGGAGACATTGTCTCTCTTTAAGAACTCTAAAATTGACACCAATAACAACACACCAAGCATGACATTAGTATAAAATCTATTAACCAGAATTCATCTTTTTTCAAAATAATACAATGACAATGGGTGCAAGTATGAAACACATTTTTTTGATCAGCTGATCCTAATGTATTTCCTAAATGATAAAACTTGGATATTTTACATCTTCCCTGATTCTTCCAGTAAAATTCTTTTTCAATAAAAGTGTCTTCAGAATGATTGGCCTTTATAAGAGAGCCCAAATGGTTTTTTTCTTATACAATATGTTGTGTCTCTTTGGCTTTATCAGTGGTTACAGAGCTTTGTGGTAATCTCAAAATATCAACACCATCCATCCTGGGGAAGTATTTTCTCCAGCAAAAGGAGAAAAAGCAAGACAGAAACAATCATAAGGCCATGTGAGGTTGACTTTCTCAGGGAGCACTTTGATAAATACGTTCTTTTATTTAATGTCTTTGTGCCTTCATTTCCTCATCTGGTAAATGGTAATTAAAAGTACTTAACTCATAGCATTATTGTAAGGACTAAATAAAATAGAACCACAATGGCTGGAACATATTAAGGAGTTAGTATTAGCTATGACAATAAAAGTAATCATATATTTAAAGAATAACTCTCTAAAAATATATAAAAACAAAGTCCTTAAGATGGGTTGTTTGATGTTCTCAAGTTAGTATAAAATTGAGAATCTTAGGAACAGATGATCTAATTCAAAATTCTATGATCTTATGCCCTATCATACTTAAGAACACTGAATTATTGGTAAAATATTCTAATACTATGGACAAACACCCTATAGTTTACATGCGTATTTGACTAACTAGTCCATGGTGGAAGTAAAACTAAACATGATTCTAAATATAAATGTGTCTAGGAGGGGAAAACTTATCCAATTAGATGATTTAAAAAATTATTGGAAGAGTTGAAATAAAAATTACTTGTAGAGTTAAGAGTAGAACTTATGAAGAAAGATTAAAGGATGATTTACCTTAGAGTTGAGGTCTAACAAATTTTAGTAAAAATCTTACTCTGGATATATGGACACATTATATATTTAAAACTTCAAAATTATATTTTGTAAGACAAAAACTTTATTTCAAAAGCAACTTAAAGTGGGTTATCCATGGGAAAGGATAGGCACAAAGTTTTCTTTCTTAAGCCAGTAATAAGATGAGTGTTTTTATACTACCTAAACTTTTTATGCCAGCAATTATTTATTTAAAACACTTACAATATTGCCGTTATAATAAATCTTAAAAACTATTAATATATTTTCAAGTTGTACAAGAATCTAATCTTTTTGATTATTTTTGTTTTTGTTGTTATTAATTTAATTAGATTTTTTAAATGCAGAGATAAATATCACATATTTATATTCCTTTATGTGCTTTTTGGAACTGTGAAAAATAAAAAAGACTCTGAGGGCTCCCCAACTGGCAATGTTGTGGAGAAAAGATAGGATATTATAATGCCACGAATAACAATGTCCATAAAAAGTATGAATAACAAGAGAAAATGTGCTCCTTACAATGCTCAGTAAAATGAAAAAATGCAAACAAAAACATCCAATATTATGTATATAGCTGCATTTTTAAATTGTGCATAAGATAATTAGAAATGATGATAAAATGTTGAAAAGTTTGATTTCTGTTGCAATATTAGCAATTAAAAATTTTTTCTTCTCTTGTTTCTTTTCTAAATGTTAAATAATACCTAGCTATTAAATCACTTTTATATTTGGAAATCATGTATCTTTTAAAATATATTATTTGCATCCTCCTTATTTTCACTTAATACATATAGTTTAAGTTGTTCTCAGACACCAGAATATTAGGAGAATAATTCAAAATCCAAAAAAAGGACTTGAGAAGTTACACTTGAAATCATGGCTAGGCCAAAACAAAAATAAGAAAAATAGTATTAACAGATAGCACTTATTGACTGTCTATTATATACTATACATCATAAATATTGCATACATATTTTTTAAAATACTATTAATTTAATTTGCATAAATATTTGATGTTTGTTTACCATTATTTTCATTTTCTGTGACTTGGTTTAAATAAATTAATGAATGCAATGTGCTCAGAAAACTGCCTGGACACCTGGTAAATTTCATGTAATTGTTTTCTAGCAGTAGCAGCATCAATTATTTTACAATTGATGAAAGTTGAGATTTACAAGGGTTAAATAAGTTGTTCAAATTCTAGTTTATTTAACCATAGAGTCTAGATCTATGTCCTTAAACACAGTGATAAAAACAGTAAACTAAAAAAAGCATATAATATATATACATACATATTTCAATTATAATAGAACATACATTTGTTGTGAGAATGAGTGCCTTAAAATAAATATTATCTGAATGTTAAGCATATTTTCCGAACAGTACCCTGGCACCAGGAGCCTCGTTCTGTGCAAGCACTCCTACTCACCAGCTCTGTGACCTTAGACAAGTTGCTTAAATTTCCTAGACCTGAGTTGCTTTTCTAAAAATGAGGAGGTTGAAAAAGAACAAATACTGGCAGGAACTAACATTTTTGAACCCTTATTGTGTGCCAAGTATTATGCTAAATTAATGATCACAACTGTCCTATGAGCCAACAATATTGATAATCATCCCTTTTTTGAAATGTGGTAATTTAGGCATAGGGAACTTGCTTCATTTCCACAGCAAATAGTGTTGGACCAGCAAATGAGATAACACCTGGTATTTAAACCCAAGTGTATCTGAATTCAATGTCTGCACTCTTTCTTGATGACTACTCAGAGCTCCCACTGCTGGAACTCTCAGATCTGTCCCTTCCAGATCTGAAACTTTATGAATATTGTTAATTACTGATGGAGCATAAATATGTGAAAAAGGAGTTTAACTTCTTCCCCCAGCCAATCAATATCTCACTGTTTTTGCTGTTATAAAGACATCATTAATGAAGTCTTTGATTAGCACCTAATTTCCAAAGTACTGTACTCAATATTTTGTAAGAAAACTTAAAAGCCTAGTCCAAGTGCATAGATCTTGGCACATAGTGAGTGTTCATTTAATAATTAATTTATCAGGCAGTCGTACACTTACAAAGTGCATTAACTGATTATTCAACTGACCACCATAACAAAACATTGGTACAGAAAGTGCAGGTACAGCCATCTGTCATCTTGCAAATGAGGATCTGTCTATTTATAAAGGTTAAGTGAGCTGCCCAAGGTCATCCCAAAGTGGAAAATAAAATATGGTTTCCAGAGCAATTCCAAGATTAATACTCTTTCCACTGACCTTGAAACCAAATTGTTTTTATTTTGTAAAAGTATCAGAAACAAAGTTTTACATATTCAAGCTGAATTACTTCAGCATTAATTTCTGCTCTTTCTTGGGAATGGTTAAAATTTATTTCAGTTGCCTATGATTAGAAATTGTGTACAATCTGCAAAACTCCACTCATGTCCACTTTAGTATTTCATATATAAAATGTTGAATTTTTAAATTTTTCTTTTTTGTGTTTCTAAAGGACATTTTTTTATCCAGCTAATGGCTCAAGTGTTATACTCTCTTCAGCCTCTTCAAATTTTTAAATTGTATGCATCAATTTTCCATGTATTGACAGACTGAAGGTAAAAGCAAAAGTATGTAACAGGTTTTGAAGCTAGGAGAAAAATTTCCAGCCAAACAAACTCAAATTACTAATCTCCAAAGTCACAAATAATGCAGTCTCCTTTAAAAAAGGTACATTCCAAATACGAGAAAGCAATTCAACCCAACCATCAATTATATTGATTATTCAAAAGAAGAGAAAAAGTAAAAGGCTAAGACTCAGAAAAAAACAGGAATAAAAATAAGATTGAGAATTTCAAAAAAGAGACAGATACCAAGAAACATTTGAGATTATGAATCAATTCAGTCAAAGATGTTAAATTTATACCAAGAAAAATGTAGCACGGTTAAAATATAAAAAGTGTTTATTTAAGTCTTTCCATAGTTCCACACAGATAATTAGATAATTATTATGAGAGGTCGAATAGTCCTAAAAATAAATTGTTTCACTGTTAAATAAGCCAGAGAATATCTTAATTACTTATTATGGATTTTATAGGTTATTGTTTAAAGTTGTATGCTATATCTGTCAGTGTGGAAGATTTAAAATCTCACTCTTTCATTAAAAAATGATATTAATGGTGTGCAATTCAGACTTCCTGTCTCAAAGGGAACAGTACTGATGATCTTCATACTGAATCAGAGCCATTCAATAGCATAAACAAAAAGGAATTACTACACCATCTACAGTGCTCTAAATGATATAAAATAACATTGTATTAAACAAAAACACAACACAATTTTTTTTTTACTTCAACCAAAGCTATCCATACATATTCTATTCATCTCTTGCCATATAGATAACTTTGTGAGTTTCTGCTTACATATGAACATATTCTTTCTATGAGGGGAAATGTTCTATTTTTATGGAGCCATGGCTTGGTATATATCTGAGAAAACTCATGTGCTAGCAAGTGCTTCCATTTCACTTTTTCCACAGTATCTACCACAGAGCTGAGTACAGACTATCTACCCAATAAATATTTGTAGACTAATGAATAAAATAATTTGTTTGTGGTAGTATCACGTGGACCTCAAGCTCTATTTGGTGTGCTTTCCTGGACTATATATTTGCATTGAAATGCAAATATCTGTATTTCATTGAAAATTATATTTTGTCCAAAAATTTCTCTCAAAGCACAAGTTTTAGGTTATTTTTATAAGTTCAAAATCTTGTCAAATTAAAGTACTACCAAGCCCTCAAATCTGTTTTTTTTTTTTGGGCGGGGGGGAGGGAATGTATTAGGTATAAGAGGCTTTGCTGTTATCAATTTTATATAAATACAAAGTCGTATAATATTGTAAGCTTGATTTTTAGCATATGTATTTTAATAAAACCTATAGTTTTAACATAATATATAATGGAATCTATAGTTATTTACATGTTTTTGTATCCTCTGAGCAAAAAATTCATATCAATTATTCTCAATCATCCAAATTATAAGAAATGAATGAATGCATTGAGAATTGAAAACAATAAAATTCAATTTCATTACAAATAATATAGCCAGATAGTATATTTCTCTGTCTTCACATATTTCCTGTTTTATGAAATCATTTCCATAAAAACATATTGTCAACATCATTTGTAGCTTTTTTCTTTTTTTAATTATACTTTAAGTTCTAGGGTACATGTTCACTAATTCCATAAAACTGAAATTAAACTGACATGTACTTCAGTATGTCTTACTTAACTTTTATATTTTTTCAGCTTCTCAAAGGATAAAATGCTATCATATGTAATTCAGTAATATATTTTTCATTAACAAAAATGGTGCTCTAACTTTATTAGGGAAAGTCAAGGATTGAAATCCTAACCCAAATCTAGTGAAGGTCAAATATATGACAGTTGAAAAGAGGGTATATAACCAAGTAATATGAAGACAGTTTCTGAAGAAATCATTAAAAATACAAATAATTATATTTTTATTGTTCTTGAGGAAAGGAATGCAGAAATATCTTTTCATTCTAGTTTTATTCTATCTACTTTTCATTGCAGCTATGAATGAGACTACTGACTTTCAGGTAGTATTAATAATATATTAATAACAGCACAAAAATCTACCTTGATATCACTTTATAGAATAAAGGAACTTTTACAATTTCTGAAAATAAACACTTGATAAATAAGGTATATATTCATTGTTATTATTGGAACTACAACAATCTGGCAGAGCATTTAATTTAGTTTTCAAACTAATGCAGCAATTAAATGTAATCTGCCTATTTCCTAGGGTCCATGTTATTTCTTTTGGTTTTAACCTCAGGCCCATGGCATATCTCAATGTGCTACAACTTGCTTCTATTAACAAAGTTTCTAGTTGGACAAGTAAAGGCACATGAGCATGTCCAATTTGAAATTTACAAAGAAGTTATCTATCTACTGCTTGCACTTATTTTTTTTCACTATAAAATTTGCTTATGCTTGTTGAAAATGTAAAAAGGAATTCAAAAGTACTTGAAGTATAGCATTAAGTTTCCATCTTTAATCCCCTGTAGTTTCATCTCCTACACCCACGCACATCAAAGATAACCATGTTCACAGCTCTGGAACTGTCCAGGCCTTGCTCATCTTACCACAGCATAATGCCTCTCAACATACATCACCAATTGGAGGAGGAAAGTGTGGGGTGTATTTGTACTTATGCCAAAGCAATAAGCACCCTACCTTTTTCGTGCAATTGCAAACTTATCTTCTAAAGTGAAAATTAGTAAGAGTCTAAAACTCACTACATATATTGGTAACTTTCCTGACCAATTCTCCACTCCATTATGTTGTCAATTATGACTGGGCAACAATTAATTGAAACATCATTTACGTTTTTTTTCTTCAAGGCCAAGATAAGGCAAGACAGGTTCTTGGCAGGAAAATTTAGAAGATACTTACTGAATGTTTTCTATGTGCCAAGCTTGATACTAAGTGCTTTATATTTAGTTTTCAAAACAAACTTATAGGGGAGGTATTTTTATCTCAATTTGATAATGAGGAAATTAAATGTACTTGTCCAAAGTCCCTCAACTAGCAAGACTATTAATCAGTATTTGTACTCAAATTTGCCTGGGTTCATCCTACTACTTAAATGAGAACTATTTCAAAGGGTCAAAAAACAGATTCCAAAGATATTTTTGCAACAAACTGTGAATTTAAGTTATTGCACTGTAGGTTACTTATTTCATTAAACTACTTTTATAATACTTTTAAAAGCACACTCTCATACATTACCATAATATATTTTACCCATAGTATTTGGCCCAAGCTTCTCATTCTCAAAAGAAGTCTAAATTTTAGACTTGACTATATATCAAATGAAATTATTCATATAATTTTTGGGACACTCAGAGAATAGTGGAAGATTGCCACTTTATATATTTAAACTTGTGGCTTATTACACATAGTGCACATGTGGTGTACTATGACTTGTTTATATAGCCAAAAAGTTATCTTGTAAATGGCACAAATGCCTTATATTTTATGTGCTTGTACCTGTATGTCTCTGTGTATGTGTGGGGGGGGAGTTAGAAATGTTAATTTGTTAAATGTAAATGTTTAATGTCAAAATAATAATATTTTTGGCATTTATTTCTTAGTGTACTATATTGGGATATTAAAAATTAAAATGCTCCCAGGCTGTCTTTATCACTGATAAAAACTAGGACTAGAAACTCCCCTGACCTCCTTGTCTAGTATCCACTCCATTGTCCTATCCTGATGCGTATACCATTTACCAAAATTATACCAATTATTTACATAATTGGTATAATTGTTCAATGAGTAACCTACAGTGCAATAACTTAAATTCACAGTTTGTTGCAAATATATCTTTGGAATCTGATTTTTGACCCTTTGAAATAATTCTCATTTAAGTAGTAGGATGAACCCAGGCAAATTTGAGTACAAATACTGATTAATAGTCTTGCTAGTTGAGGGACTTTGGACAAGAAAATTTAATTTCCTTATTATCAAATTGAGATAAAAATACCTGCCCTAAGAGATAGTTGTTCGATGCTTCTATCATTTCCTACCATGGGTGCCTTGAAATTTTTGCTTGTTTTAAATAAGACATAAACCCATCACTCCAGAAAATATAAATTAAATGACATTGTCACAGAAGAATAAATTCATGTGTATTGGTTACATTTCTCTAGAAAAGTATTTAGGAACAAAGTGAAAAAGAGAAGTAGAGTAAGTCACTTTTAAACTTTTAATTTTTTAGCTGCAAGACACAGAAGAAATATATTTTAAATGATAACCCACAGGCTATTTATGGCTATGTGTAACTAAAGTGAAATTTACAAAATATCTAACCTATGATGTAATACATGTTGATATTTACATTTTACTCTAGTCTATTTTAATGTATTCTCTATTAAATTCTGATTTCAACCCTCTAAATTGGTTTTACAAATAACTTATGAGTTATCCACTATTTAAAAAAAAAGAAAAACACGGACTAGATAATCTCTTTCTTTAGAATCTCATTGTGTGTGTGTGTGTGTGTGTGTGTGTGAAAATCAATGTGTAAATGTAACATTGGGCTGCAGTCACTTTACAAAGTCCCCTAAAATAAATGTATTTGACTATTACACCTCTTGCCAAAACATCTCCTCAATTCAACATGTGAATGTTTGATAAATCTTTCTGGAGTATTTGCAAATGTGCCAAAATGAGATTTCATAACCCACAACCCTGATGAATTCCAAAGAATTGCCTTTCATATATAAGGCTACATTATTTAACAATATATCCTCCAGCTCTTAAAAAATTCTGTACCATATTGCTTCCTGCTATTATTGGCATCTGAAGGACAGAGTGTGGAGCCTGTGATGGAGATGTAAATAGAAACAACCAAGCACAGTCTGTGCTTTTCATCAGACTCACGAAGAGGTCTTCGTTGAGGTCAACTTGTTACCACAGGCCCCCTCCTTAATTTGTTTTCTTTTCACTATAATTAACCCATTCCATGGGAACAAGGAAAGGTGCTGCTTTCAAAGCTAGATGAAAAGACACAAAAATATGCTCAAAAGATACTCTCAGTGGAGAAACAAATAGGGTTTTTTGTTTCCCAGGGAAGGAAAAAGAACCAGGTGATGTCCATTCTACTTTTCCTTGGAGCCACACCTACTCCAATGTAAAGGAATGAGATTTAGATTTGTTTCAAAGGAGTTGGCTTTGGATCTAAATCCTTACTCTGCCACTAACTTTAGCTGCAGAAAAAAAATCACTCTTTCCTTGTCCATTCTACTAAAATGGTTACTTTATCAGACTGTGTTATGAAATAAACAAACTAACCAAATTTAAAATATATTATATGTGGCCGGGTGCAGTGGCTCACGTCTGTAATCCCAGCACTTTGGAAGTCCAAGGCAGGCAGATCATGAGGTCAGGAGATCAAGAACACCCTGACTAACATGGTGAAACCCCCTCTCTACTGAAAATACAAAAAAATTAGCTGGGCATGGTGGCACGCACCTGTAATCCCAGCTACTTGGGAGACTCAGGCAGGAGAATTGCTTGAACCTGGGAGGTGGAGGTTGCAGTGAGCCAAGATCGCACCACTGCACTCCAGCCTGGGTGACAAATTGAGACTCCATTTCAAAATAAAAAAATATATATATATATAAAGTGATTATGTTTCAACTCACAAAGTAGTAAGATCCCAATGGCAACTGATTGTCAACATTGGGAATTATCAGAAGAACAAATAGTCCAACATCGTTCTTTCCTCAACTGAGGTTTAAGTCCATTTTTCCAGAGTCCTCCAAGTGATTGTCCATTCCAGGTTTGTGCACAAGGAGTTACAGAGAACTAACTCACTACCTCCTAAGAGAGGCAATTCCTTTATTGAACAGTTCTGCTAATAAACAACAAAAAAATTTTTTTAATTAAACCATACTTTGTTACTCTTGTATTTTAGTAATTAGCTGTCTCTGCCAACTGCTGGCCATACAGAGTGAACCTAGCTCTTTTCCACCTGAATTTACAAATATCTAAATAAACAAAATATGTAAATATATCAGATACCTAAAGGTAGCAGTCAGGGCCCTGCTGTGTCTTGTCTTCTCTCTACTAAATTTATTCTCTGAGGATATGATTTCAAATTGCATAACCATTTGGGCTACTCTCCTTTGAACAGGCCCTGCTTGGCTGCATTTGATATTGGTCTTGCCCTGTCACCCAGGCTGAGTGCAGTGGTGCAAACTTCGCTCACTTCAGCCTCAACCTCTTGTCCTCAAGTGATCCTCTGCCACAGTCTCCCAAGGAGCTGGGTGCACACCACCATGTCTAGCTAATTTTTCTTTTTCTTTTTTTTTTTTTTTTTTTTTTTACTTTTTGTAGAGACAGAGCCTTATTATGTTGCCCACCCTATGTCCAACATTTAATGTAGCCCAGCTGTAGTCTGCAGAAGTTTGATCATAGCAAGTCACAGAAACTTAGTCTTGGAAGAAATCTGTATGAACATTATTTGCAGTGCCTGTTTGTATATAAAAAAAAAAGATGCAAGGAGTTGAAGTGACTTTCTTGGAGTCACAGAGTAAAATCCTTAGTTCTCATGTCAGTTATCTTACTTTTAGCACAGTTAGTCATTTTAACTTATTTTTCCAACTCCAAGATAGTATTAATGTAATCTTCATATTTTATCTGTTCACTATCAAATTAACAGGATAATGACGAGACTGACAGAAGAGCCTGCAAAAACAAAAACAAAACAAAACAAAACAAAAACACTTCCAGTTAAAAAGAGATGAGGAAAAATGATAAATAAGAAAGAAAGACAATGTCGATTGTGGTAGCTCACACCTGTAATTCCAGCACTTCAGGAGGCCAAGGCAGGTGGGAGTTTGAGACCAGCCTGAGAAACACAATAAGGCCTCATCTCTACAAAAAATTAAAAAATAAAAATTATTCACACGTGGTCACATGTGCTTGTAGTCCCAGATACTTGGGAGGCTGAACCAGGAGGATCATTTGAGACAAAGAGTTTGAGACTGCAGTGATCTATGACCATGCCACTCTTCTTCAGCCTGGGCAATAGAGAGAGACCCTGTCTCAAAGAATAAAAAAAGAGAGAGAGAAAGGGAGAGAGACAAAGAAAAGGGAAGGAGGATAGGAAGGTAAGAAGTTATAAAGGAAGGAAGGAAGGAAAGAGAAGGAGGATGGAAGAAAAGGAGGAGGGAAGGAAGAAAAAAAATTCTCAAGATACTCCCTCGAGAGTTTTGAGGATCTCTATTCTTGCTTTCTCTTATATGCTTGCTTAGTTTATGTTGGGCAGAATTTACTGTGCATAATTTGCTTTTCATTCTGTGTTTTATGTGTTTCAAGCTGTACATTGGAACATAAACATCTCACAGCATGCCCTCTCATTCCCCAGGGTTCCTTATGCAGAAGCAACTTCAACAGAAGTGGCTGAACACTATAAACCTAGAAGCTAAAAGGTTTTAATGACATCTGGAATAAGAGTGACCAAGGGAAAACATGCATGTGTGCGGCTGCCATCCATAAGAAGGGTAAATACTGAATACCTGATAGGCTACATCCTAAGAGATGATCTTCACATTTAGGTAAGCATCTGATTATTTAGAACTGTGGAAGTGTCCACAATTGCACATCACCAGAGATATTTGTGCATTATGGGGGAGCAGTGCAGTGAAATCCGCTGAAAACAAAATTCCTTTTAACTCAGCTTAGTCATCCTGGACATGGAGTATTTGTGGGCGTTTTCTAGTATTTTCAGCAATTGATGACAGCAATGGTGCCTAAGAGAGAGGAAGGTGGGATGCTATCCCAGGCATTAGTCTCTTATAGGTGAGCCAGAGTCTAAGCCAGAAATTGTATCATCAGAAATGAATCTGAATATAGAAGAAACACTGCCCAAACCACATGTGGATATGTCAGCAAGCTCTATATTTTTCTCTGAAAGAGGCAATAATAACTCTCTTAGAAATTATTTACTGAGTCCATAGGCTGTTCCTTCTGGAAAGGGAAGAGGAGGGAATGCCCCTCTAAACACTCCTTCCAGAGCTATCTGTATTTTTTTCACTGTTAGCAATGAAGTTTCTGACAGTGATATATGAATATGAAAAACTGTTTCTTTACAATTAGAGTTGCCCACTGTGTTTCCCAGATTACGGATCCATGATCCAACTTACTAAAGAATTCCCCTAAAAGTTTCTGCATCTTCTAAATTGTATATATTGTTAAGTCAGTGGTAACTAATATAATTATACAATCAATCCATAATTTCAAAGATTTCTGGGGATCTCATGTTTTCAGAATTTTTGTGGAGCAAAGGAAAATCTTTCAGAGCTTCCGCAAACCTTTGATATGACCCAGGAAAAGGAGCACTTCATCTAATTTACAGATCAAGAGCAAATTGATCATGCTATTTCTCAAGGCTAATTTTTATTTTTATTTTTCGAGACAGTTTTGCTTTTGTCACCCAGGCTGGAGTGCAATGGCGTGATCTTGGCTCACTGCAACCTCCACCTCCCAGGTTCAAGCAATTCTCCTGTCTAGGCTAATTTTTAGATGAATTATTTCATTTGTGGTCCCTTCTACTATTTCAGATAGTTATTAACACTTTCAGCCAATTGTTTAGAAATATTGGTGCCATTGAGATAAAGGGAGAGCGAATAAAACAATGCAATGGAGGGGTAGAAAAATGGCAAAAAGGAATCTGACTAATAATCTCCAGCAATGTTTTGGAAACCAAGTTCTGGACAGAAATCTTGAGTTCCAAGACACAACTCTGCAACTAATTATCTGACAAGCAAGGTAGAGTTATGTGACCTTTCTATTTTAGTTTCCTTAACCGTAAAATACAGAAGATTAAATGCTGGCCTGAGACACAGTGTTCACATTCTATGGAAGGAATAGTACTTTATGTGTCTTTATTATTACCATGATCATCCCAAAATTTGTTTTAACTCTCAGCACTATTCAATTCCTGGGGAAACAAAATAAAGTCCTTTTAAAAATTATTCAGTAGCTTCCACAGTGCCATTTATTATTTTTCCAAGCTAAATTGTCTTGTATAATGATAATTAGTAGAAATGCTGAGATGGTAAAAGTGTACTTTTTAGAAGTCATACAAGCATATAGACTATTATTTTTCCAAGCTAAATTGTCTTGTATAATGATAATTAGTAGAAATGCTGAGATGGTAAAAGTGCACTTTTTAGAAGTCATACAAGCATATAGACTATGAATCATACTGAAGGTCCTTCAATCAAAGCTGGATTGTTATCACATTTTTAAGTAAATAACTGATGGGAAGTCATATTATAACCTGAAATTGCAATCTCTAGGTTAACCTGAAGACCATATTTTTAATAATGTATGCTACCAGTACAATTTATTGGTACATTTTTCTCCTCAGAACATCACTGATTTGTTTTTTGCTGTAACAAATTAACATTCCTGTCATTAGACAGAAATAATAAATTCAAGAAACAGTGAAAACAAAAAATGAAGTGTAGCATGAACAGGATTTTACAATTAATCAAGGGAGTCATTTTGACACCTCATTTTTATAAAGAAGCAAAACTGAAAACTTACAAGTGCCTGCTATTTATCCACATACTATAGTCATAAATAGTGAGCTACCTACTTTACTAACACAAATTCCTCTATTCAGCAAATAGTCTTTGAGCACATACTATATGATGGGCACTCTAATAGGCCCTGTGGATATACTGTAGATTTTCAACTAAAGTCAGGAAAACTAGTGAAGTGTGAAATCTTGTCAATCACCCAGAAAGTACAATATAAAATTTTTTTTGTATAAAACACAATGCAATAATTACTTTTCTCAATGAAGTTGAACTAGATCAAGGTAAAGAATATAATAATGAAATATATTCAAGTGCTTAACTATTTGAAACATTCAGACTTTAAGGGAACTATCACATCTCTAGCCACAGAAGCATAGGCAAAGCATTTTAAATATTTCTTCTTGTCCACAGTATATATTCTATTTTATTTCATATTCAAATTTCAAGAATATTAATGCATGTTAATTTATTTTTTTGCTTTTGAAGTTTAAGCAGTAGTATCTTATTTGGGAGGAGGGAAGTTAGAGACTAAAGTGAGAGGGATGAGTATGTTTATACTGGACTCCATCCTGATGGCATTTTTAATTGCTCACAATAATAGTCAGCTGGGTAATGTTGAGGGTTTCAGCTGGGCTCAATTATGTGATTGCAATTAGCTGTGGGTTGGAAAGGCAATTTTGTTGATCTGCATTGCACGCTCTCACATGTTTGAGGTCAACTGGTCTAAGATGCACTCATTTGGAAAACCTGGGTGCTCTCATACTTCACAGGATAACAATAGGGTTCCAACACAAACTAGGAAGAAAGTTCTCACATCAACCAAGTGCTATTGGTCAAAGTGTCAGAAGGCCAGTGCTACATGAAAGTAAAAGGGAATTATCAAGTCAAAAGCAAATGATGTGAATACAGAGGCGCCAGTAGTAGAAGTCATCAATGCAATCTGCCACATTGCTAAATGGGCAAACACCATCAATCCTGTGTCATCGTGGGCACATGTATCAAGGTTTGCAAAAGTACTAAGGCAAAGGACCCTTTACATTTCCTTAGTGCAGAGAGAGTTCTGACTCCATTAAAAGAAGTGATTTTACTTTTCTTCTGAGTCATTGCATATTCCTTTCCTCTACCCAGTTGAAGAGCTAGTTTGATCTGCTCTTTAAAAAATGCTTTCTTTTTTTTTTCTTCTTCTGTTTTATACTATGAATCTCTTTGGCTACAAGTTCTAGGCATAATTTCTGTGTAATAGAACAAGCCACAGTAAATACCCAGTCACACAGACTGCTAAAGCCATAAATCACAGGAAATAGCAAGTGTAAGAGATTAACATCGAAGCTGAAACCCAGTTTTCCTTGTACACTCCTCTGGAATTCTGTGATGACATACGCTTTCTTGAAGGAACATCTTGTGGTACCCGTGACACAGTGTGGTTAGGTTTAAGTATAAAATACATAGGCAATTAGGAGAAAAAACGTTTTTTTGAAAATAGGACCACAGACCTTGATGGTTCATGTGAAAGCATTTGGAAATTTCCATACTCTTCAAGAAAGAGAATATTGATGGAACAAAGGAGAATAATTATAAGAATATGAAGATAAATTATCAAGTACTGGGATTAATTCTCCTAATGCTAGAGAAAATCACCTCAAGCCAGTGAGAGAAAGAGACTGGATGATAACAGACACTATCATTTCATGGAAGATCCCACCAAGACTTTCTGAAAAACCAAGCGGAAAAAAAAAAAAAAAGCATGACCTTAGAGAGTTCCCACAGTACCCAACAAAGCTGTATCCTGTTTGACTCTCACTTTTCTGATCCTGGAGGTGAGTTTCACCTTGTGAAAATTCCTACAATGCCATTCTTGTACTGATAAATCATAAGACTTAACACTACATAACCTCGTTATCCACCTACTTGCTTGGGATCAAAGCAAGATAAATATTTCTTGACACAACCACATAAACAGTAAGCAAAGGAGTATTTCTTCCAACTTTTGAATGTCCAATTCCAAGGTTTGTTCTCTCCTGAATCCTGGTGGTACAACCTAAATATTTTGCCTGAATTTGGCATTGCAATTTCTATTGTCTTTTGTTTGCCCACAAATAGAATGTTTTCATGTAATTGTTATATTTCAGTAGGTAAATTATGTATTTAATATAGAGCTTAAAGTGTATGTATATAAAAATTATGCATAAAATATTCCACCTCATTTCTTAACTTAGATTTCTTCTCAGAAGCAGCAACTTTTAGTAGTTTTGCTCTTCTCTGAGAACAATTCTATGAATATCCAATCAAATTGTTTGTATAAAAACGCCTTTTAGAAAAAATAAAATGTTATATATACGGAAATGCCCCTTGTTTTTTTCACCTAAGATGATCTTGGAAATTGTAATCATTACCTAATAGAATGTCTCATTTATTTTAATAGCTAAATGATAATGCATTGTTTGAATGCATCATAACTTATTTTATGAGGTTATTAGATTGCTATTGGGGTAAATTCAGGATAAAACAACAGTTTAAAGTAGTAAAAGCCAAAGGTCGTCACTAAGAGTTTCCCTTGGGGCACAATTGATTTAGCATTTGCCACACCGTGACCAAGCCCTGATCTTCTGAAGCTAGAAGGGAGTCCCTGATAAAATGCATGATTTATTTGAAGCAAACCAAAACATACCTTTATAATTGGCCTTTTCAGACACATTTTTACTTTCTCACCTAGTCATATTTTCTTATGCTTTTCACTGAAAGCCATCCCTGCTAATTTTCACCGTCAGTATTTTTATTGTTAAATTTCAATTGTCAAATTCCATTTCCTTCTGTAAGATTCCCACCATGATCCCCGTAAACACAGAGGAGGAGGTGATTTTTTTCTCCATCAATTTCCTTTAGAGTCAGATTTGTAACATTGTGTCATTTTGAATTATGATTATATAGGTATTTGTGCATGCCTCATCTCCTTTGCCAGATTGCAATCCCACTGAAGTCTGTGATATAGAAAACAAAGGGCTATCATTCACAGGACGGTCAGAGAGCCTTGCGTATGTATTTGTGCATAATATGTGTTGCATAAATATATTCCTAACCTCTGAAGTGGGGTTAGTAACTTAATTCCACATTTTACCAGACCAAAATATTTGGACTATATTGATATGTTAATGCAGAATTTTAAGAATCTCCACAAATACAATAATCTGATGATTTATAAAAAGTATTTTGTATCTTCTTCAGTATTCTATAGTGTTTAATATACACATTTTGTTTTTCTAGAAGAAGAGCTGCATAACAAGTGAGTCTGCCCATTTGGGTCACAACCTCTGTAGGTCAAAACAAATTTTTTCCAAACAGCCATGGTCAAGAACTAATGATTTTTAAAACACCATAAAAAACAAAGGGCTACTTATTATTCACTACTATAAAACATCAGTCAGATTTTTCTTTCCTCACTACTCTTGGAGCACAAAGAAGCAATAAATTTTAAAGCAAACGTTGAATTATTTAAAATTATACTTCTCAAATATGTTCTGTACAAGGATAAAATTAATTTATTCTTATCTCCATTTTGGATTTGACCATGAATTCTTCTGAAAAAATAGCTGTAAGACTAAACTTTTTGGTAATTCTCTATAACAACACACCTGGGTTAGAACTGGCTACTACCTTCAGTCCTATGTATTTATGTGTACTTTGCTTTCACTATTAGAAACAATAGGCACCTAGAACAATCGTGAAATGACAAAAATGTGAGGTGTTCAATGAAGATACAGAGACTTAAAAACCTCTAGTAATGAATATAAAAAATCATTATAGCAGAAGTATAATATAGCATCAGTATAGCAGAAGTAAATAATGTAATTCACAATTAAAACAAAATTATATTTCACCAAATATTGGCCACATACACCCTTCTGTAGTTTAAGTCTATGTCTCTCTAGATATATGCCATCCAGTCTGTTCTTATAGTACTGGTATAACTGGGACAATTCAAAGTATCCAAAATAATTAGGAAAAGTTTACTCTTCCCAAACCTGAAATTTTAACTGTTGAGTGCATAATAATATATACTCGATGTATGCAAGGGAAACTCACCTTCTGTGTGTACGGCTGATACATAGGTCCAGTTGTACCTCTTCACTATGTCCACCATGGACCTTGCCTGCTGAGCATCTGAAGGCACAACCCTCATGAAATATTTGAACAGAGTCTTGTCACTCAGATCCATGATGGTTGCTGAGTAAGCAATCTGAGGTATGTTGAAAAGCTGGAGCAAATTCTGGACCTGAATGGCTACAGAACTGGAACCAGGCCCAATGACCCCTACTATGGGCTTCTTGGAGCAGAAGGAAGAGGAGGAGCCATCCACAGAGCACACCAAGCCCTCTTCCTCTTCCGAAGAAATGAGGGAATCTCTTATGAACTCAATGCTCTGCTCTAGGGCCACAGCCGAATGCCAGCAGGAATCCCTTATCTCACAGCCCAGTGTGATGTTGGGCAAGAGTGTGGGGTCTGAATTGATCCTTTCCAGGGTATGCAGCATGGCCTCCACTCTCTGAATGCCATACTGTTCACGGACTGCCCCACACTTCCTCTCATGAACTTCGTCCACAGTAGGCTGGTGATGAACAGAAAAGAGAGCTCCAATAATGATGTCACCCAGCATGTGAGCCACCACCCTCCTCTCACTGGACTGTGCACTCCCACGGACATCTTCTTTCAAAAGTAAGACTGACAGGATCAACAGAAGGACCGTTTTAGGACAGGAGTTCCAGCTAATAAAGATAGCATGGTGGGGAAAATTCAGGAGGGTTCTGATAGCTACGAACAAGCGATGTCCTGCGTTGAGTGGCAAATCAAGAAATTAGCCAGCAATTCAGATGTATTCTCTAAAGGACCATTGTGTCCCCATGTACCATTTAGTTAGATGATCCATGTGGTCATGATCTTCTAAACCTGAAAAAAAAAATAACATGGGTCTTTAACAAACATAAATGCAACTAGTTTGGGGAAGTTCTATAATCCATTATAGCAGAGAAAACATTTTGATGATGCAGATAACAAAGAAAAAATAATTCAAAAACGTTTCTGACTTTCCTTTGTCTGCTTCCTTTGTGATTTGATGAAGCAGCTGATGTAGCTTCTTGACCCTGCCTTGCTTAGATTAATAGTATTTTTTTGTTCACCTGCACTACATAAAACCAAATCTTGTGTGTGGCGGGCAGAACTGTATTGTACTCTCAGGCAGAGATGACAGAGCATCCTAGAAGCAAAACTACGCCATGAACAGAAAACTTCAAGAAGTATGCACCCCAGAATATTAAACATTGGTGATCTCTTGGTAATGAAAGTGTGGATAACTGTTGTTAAATTTTCATTAGGCTTTCCTTTTGAAATCTTTAGCCTTGAGCATGTAATTAATTATGCAATTACAAAAATAAAATTATCTTTTCAAAAATACCCCACATATCCTCTCTCCAAATACAATGTCAAGCAAGTTGAATAATCTTCTCAGGAATAAATAAGTATTGTCTAATTAATGTGGATGACATAACAAAAACAAATGAAGAAAGGTGGGTGTTTCATGTTAAATAAACTGTACAGAGTCTTGCAATACAATTCACAGTAATCAGTCCTCTAGCCCTGATCCAGAAAAAAATTCCACATCACTAAGGCTCAAAGGCTAAAAGGATGTATGTTTGGAACTATTCTGCCAGGTAGAAATTTAGTATAGCTATGAATGTCATCATCTATTTCAATTTAAATTCCTGGGAAGAAAGAAATGTTGTCCCAAATTTTCCATGGCAAATTCTAGCATAATTTGTAAAAGAGAACGGACAAATTAGTGATTTGATCACTTAGGGGAATTGTGTAAGAGACTTATTTTGTTATCAACTCTGCCAGCCAAGGATCTCAAATTATTTTAAAGTGACTAACTTTCTAAGCACCGACTTTCAAAAACAGGTGATGTTTCTTCAGGAATGTATGTAAATATCGCACTTTTACAAGAATACTAATGGTTTCAAAGGTCATCAAATCTACAAAAAGTTAAGTCCAGACACAAAATGAATGTAACTTGAATCATGTATCTAATCACTCCTACCATCATTTTCACTATTTCCTTCTACTGTTTCCTATGGCAACAGAGAAAGTCTTCCTATGTACAGTGACAAAAGCTAAACTTTTTAATATTTCATCAAATAACCAGATGTTCCAGAATAACTGGACATTTGTGAATATATAGAAAAAACTAGTTTTGGTACGAAAGTTGGCATTGTAGATACAGAGGAAGAAATGAAGACTGTTAGATTTTTCATTGGCAAGTCATTTGAATATTACCAAATCTTTCTTTCACTTTCCTTAGACCCAAGACCTAAAATAATTATTCTCATGGTCATGTGAATTCTGCTGCAGACAAAAAGAAATATCTAAAGTTAAAGAAAGCACAATTTCTTATTAAATAAGAATGTTAGCGGGTGAACAAATAACAAAACACGACTCATTTTTTATGTAAGAATATCAAAGTGATATGAGAGACCTGGTGTCCTGTCAGGCTCGTGTGGCTGAAATATCAATCCCATTCATTTTATTCATTTAAGTTGTTCTATGAAACCTCTACATATTGAGATACAGTATACATATTAAAACACTAAGATATTGCCTTTTGAAGTTATGCGAAGTTTGTTACTTATTTAACAAAAAATTATTAACTATTCAGTGAAAGAGACTAATGTATCAAAGAACTGTAATAATATACATTGGTAAGTATCATTATGATCTTTCATTGAGCACCTAACATGCCCCATCTATTCATTAACTCACTTAACAAATATTTATGGTATGTATATGCTATAATTCTGTCCTGGGCATTGAATATTCAAGCATGAGCAAAATATACAAGCTCCCTATACTTGTGGGCCTTACATATTGGTATTCTAAAGGGTAACTTTAGCTGAAACATGGTGAATACAAAGAAAAATAAAGATCAAATGGTATTTCTGTCTTTAGGTCTTTGAGGAATCACCACGCTGACTTCCACAATGATTGAACTAATTTATACTCCCACTGGAGAAATTCTATTCAACCCTGCAATCCCATTACTGGCTATATACCCAAAGGAATACAAATCATTCCATTATAAAGACACATGCACACATATGTTCATTGCAACATTACTCACAATAGCAAAAACATAAAATCAACCTAAATGCCCATCAGTGATAGACTGGATAAAGAAAATGTGGTACATATACACCATGGAATACTATACAGCCATAAAAAATGAGATCATGTCTTCTGCATGGGCATGGATGGAGCTGGAGGCCATTAACCTTAGCAAGTTAACACAGGGACAGAAAACCAAATACTGCACGTTCTCACATGTAAATCAGAGGTGAATGATGAGAACACATGTATACATAGTGGGGAACGACATACTCTGGGGCCTACTGGAGGGTGGGAGGAGACAGAGGATCAGGAAAAATAACTGGTGGATACTTGATTTCATACATGGGTGATGAAATAATACGTACAACAAATTCCCATGACACAAGTTTATGTAACAAACCTGCACATGTGCCCCTGAATTTTTAATTTTAAAGACTTAAAATTAAAGTTAAAAAAAGAAAAGATAGTCCCAGCTACTCGGGAGGCTGAAGCAGGAGAATGGCGTGAACCCGAGAGGCGGAGCTTGCAGTGAGCAGAGATCGTGCCACTGCACTCCAGCCTGGGCGGCAGAGAAAGACTCCGTCTCAAAAAAAAGAAAAAGAAAAATATACAGAAGAATGAAAAAAAGGCAGTCACATAAAAAATATGTCTACAACATGAAGAACATGGGAGGCATGATGATACAAGATGAAGATGGAAAGGCAATAAAGGTCCAGGCCATGTAGGACATTGTAGGCTCTTATAAAAATATTTTAATGTTGGCCAGGCGCGGTGGCTCACGCCTGTAATCCCAGCACTTTGGGAGGCCGAGGCGGGCAGTTCACTTGAGGTCAGGCTTTCAAGACCAGCCTGAACAACATGGTGAAACCCCGTCTCTACCAAAAACAGAAAAATTAGCTGGATGTTGTGGTGCACGCCTATAATCCCAGCTACTCAGGAGGCTGAGGCAGGAGAATCACTTGAACCTGGGAGGAGGAGGATGCAGTGAGCCAAGATTGTGCCACTGCACTCCAGCCTGGGTGAGAGAGTGAGACTCCGTCTCAAGAAAAAAAATAATAATAATAATGTTAATTACAACAGAAAGCCATTGAGGAGATTTAAGCAAATGACTGAAACAATTCAATCTTAGAAAGGATTATTCTGGCTGCTCATTTTCCTGGATAATCAATTGAAGAAATCTTATAAAGAAACCTGTAAAAATCTAGCAAGAAATGATGGTGACTTCTCTATGACTGGTGACAGTAGATATGGAGAAAAGTGGTCACAGTCAGATATATTTTCCAAGTTGAATCAACTGTACTTGCTGATAGACTAGATGTGAGTAGTAAGGTAGAGAGAGGAATCAGGGTCTACTCCTAGCTTCTAGTTTGAGAGCCTAGTGCATTTTGACAGCATTAATACAGATAGGATAGACTAGCACATAAACACGTGAGGGGCAGAAGAAAATTAATGATCTTCTTTTGAAAATGCAAAATTTGAGATGCCTTGGAGGCATCCAGGTAAAGATGTCAAACAGGAAAGTGAATATGTAAGGTTGGACTCAGGGGAGAGTTTTGGTTTAGACATGCAAATTGAGGATCATCAATATATAAAATATTTAGAATGCATGAAATCGCCTGGAGAGGAAGTATAAATATTGCAAAGGTGCAGCTAAAAAATAAGCTCTGCTGAGGGGCCAGATTTGGGAAAAGCCAGCTATGAAAAGGAGTCAACCCAAAAAGTAAGAAGATAAAGTGAGAGTAAATGATGTCATAGAGGGCAAAAAGGAATGTTTTAGGTACTTTATTTTTAAAGACATATGCAAGGCTTATATATTTCGGAGAAAAACGTATCTGATTCCCATGGAAGATACTATATTCCATGTACATTCTATACACTGAAGATTTCTGACACAATGGCTATGTCTTTGAGTGTGTCCGTATGTGTGGCATATGTATACCAAGAATCCTTATAACAACCCTAAAATATAGGTACAGGTTGAACAATCCCTACACAAAATGCTTAGGACCAAAATTCAGATTCAGAATCTTTCAGATTTTGGAAAAGTTACATTATACTTACTTACTTCTTGAGCGTTCCAAATCCTAAAATGTGAAATTGGAAATATTCCAATAAGAATTTCCTTTGAGTGTCAAATGGGTACTCAAATATGCTGCAATTTTGGAGCATTTCAGATTTTTAATTTTTGAATTTGGGATGTTTGAACTGTATTATTTTATTACCTTCATTTTACAAATGATGTAATGGGTTTTGATAAGTTAAAAACTAGCTGATCACTTAGAAAATAATGGAGCTAGAATTTATGTCTATGCCTGTTGACTTTATAACACATTGTTTTAACTATTCCTTGCTGCCTCACAGCCCCTTCCTACCAAAAAAAATGAAAGATACTGCTAATGTCCATGAAAACAAGAAGGGCCACCCAGACACAATTTGAACATCCAAGAGATATAGAATCTTACAGGAGTCGCCTTTCAAACTATACAGTAAAGAGCATTCCAGGGAAAAGATGATTCAGCTCATAGAGACACAGAAGGTACAGTGTGTAGGTTATCTAGTACAAGTGTATTTACATTGCCTGGATATCCACCCCAAATTATGGCTCATCAGATTATGCTTCATAATTAGCTATGAACTTAGATACCTGGAATATACTTTAAAAAAATATGACATAGGAATGCGAAAGAACTGTGCTATTACTCAGATTATTGTAAGGCTAAATAGAAAGTCATCTTATGTGCAATCAAAATACAAGAAATTCATAGAGTATAAATTCCAAATAGACCTGAAAGGAATACATCAAATCTATCAGCATCACTCATGTGTTTTCTATAAATGTTTGTTGAATAACACACCCTTCTATGCCCCAAGGATCCAGTTATGGACAAAATAGATATAAAGTCACATCATTATGGAGCCTATACTCGAAGAGGGTTTGCCAGACAAGAAACAAAATAAATATGTAAAATATTGTGTGCTACATGGTGGTGAGTGTCTACAAGCAAAAAAACAAAATGCAGTGAAGCAGTATAGAAAGTGCCAGAGATATAGGAAAGTTTGAGTAATGTGGCCAAAGGAACATAAACTGAAAAAATAACATTTGAGTAAATAGCTAAAAGAATTGAAAGGATTAAAGAATTAAAGGAATACAGAGTCATACAGATCTCTAGAAAAACAACATTCCAGGTAAAGGATAAAACAAATACAAAGCCCCTAAGACAGATTTAATGTTTAGTGTGCTGAGGAGTAGCAAACAGGCTCTTGAGGCTGTAGAAAAGTTAAAATGCAGAGAAAGGAAGACATGGAGAACAAGAGGTAATGTGGTGATGTTGAGCCTGTTTGGACTTTAAAAGGCTTTGGCTTTAACATTTCATGAGAACGTTTTTCTGAGAGGATTCCAACAGAGGAGGAACACATTCTACCTAAAATTTTAACAAGAATAAGGGCACGAAGGCAGAAAATGAGGAGCAATTAGGAAATTTGCACTAACTTAGGTGAGAGAGATGATAGTGGTTGGATTGGAGATACGGTAAGCACAAGTGGTGAGAACTGCTGGGATTCTGAATATATTTTGAAGGTAGAGTGAACAAATTGGCTATTAGAGCTGACTTGGGATGTTGGAGAAAGAGAAAAATCAATGAGGACGCCAAGATTTTCAGCCCGAACACAAAAAGGATGGAGTCGCATCGGCTGTGGTGGAGAATGCTGCGGCAAAGACATGGATAGAAACAACAAAACAACATAAGTTCAATTTTGATATATCAAGTTGCACATACTAGAAACTCAAGAAGAGATCATTGAATGAGCAGGCGGATGTAAGGGGCTGAATTCTGAAGAGAGGTCTGAACAGGAGATAAAATGAGGAAGGTGTGAGTATACAGAAGTCCTTTTTGTAAGCCGTGAAACTGGATTAAATCACTGAGGAAGTGAAAAGAGAAAAGAAACTAGTGCCAGAGATTGTGCCCCAGGGAATTCCAAGGTTCAATGGTAAGGAATAATCAGCAAAGGAGACTGAACGATTTTTTGAATAGAAACTTCCTTTTGTGAAGTGAGGAGAGAGAAGCAGTAAAATGTGAAGTATTCATGTTGTATCATGCAGAAATAAAGGGATGGTATGCTTTGATTTTCTCAAGAAATATTATGGATGGGTATGTATGCATACATAAAGACTGGAAACATATACATTGACATTAATAGAGTGTTCTCTGGATAGTAAAAATATAGTACTTTTGATTTTATTTCTTGTCTTCATCTGTGTTTTCTAAATTTATAAATATAGTAATACAACATATTTACTATTCATTATTATTTTTAATTTGGAACTGAGGGATATGCTTTCTAAATTTCTGCAGCTTTCTCCCTTGAGACCTTATCTCCCTCCATCCATTCCTCCTTGGGAGCCTATTAGTCGTTAGGCTCTTGTCCAAGTATACACTGTTTTATTCCAATGGCTTTGCACATGCTGCTTCTGATCCCTGATATGCAGTTGTTCCAATGGTCTTCATGGCAGAGTTGTTAAGAGCATGGGCTTGGAGTCCAATGACCTGAATTGGAATCCTGACACAGCCATTGATTGGCGGTGTGTCCTTAGGCATTTAGCCTCTCTGAGCCTCAAGCCTTTATTGGCAACTGGAGTGACAGCAGTACCTACCCCAAAGAGTTTTAGTGAGTACTGAATGAGCTAATATTTAAAAATAGTCCCTTCCTAAATTATTACCATATCCCTCACCTGGCAGTGTTTGCTCTATCCTCCAAGCTCACATGGCAGTTTTTTATTTATACTTTCTTATAGTATTCATTACCAAGCTAATATTGTAGGATGTTTAAGGAAAATAGCATCATAAAACTAGAGAGGGCCCTGGAGATGATTCCATTTAACTGAGATCCATGGAAAGCAAATGATTCATAGCAGACCTGGGACTTGAATTCAACAAAATGTCACTCAAAACACAATTTTAATCATAGTTTACAACTTGGTATCAGCTCTTATACAATTTTCTAAGCTTATAATATTTTATTTTTTTATTTAAATAAAATTTTAATATGAAATCTCTCTCATAATATATTTTTATTTTCCTTGTATAATATAAATATCTTTCATATCAGTTCATTTGGATGATGCGGACAATTATAACAACAATTAAAATATACAGAGGGCATATCATGTGTTGTTCACTTTGCTAAGTATCTCACATGAAATGACATTTAGTTGTCATACAAACTGTAAAATAAGTTATGTATGCACATTTTACAGAGAAAAGAACTGAGGCTCAGAGAGATACAGAGGCTTGGCCCAGATTCCCAAGCAAGTGGGTAGTAGCAGAGCCAAGAGTCACATTTAGAACATTTATTTAATTTTATCAGTTGCATGGCATTCAATTATATGTGTGTACCAATATTTAATTATTCCTTATTGTTAGATATTAAGGTTATTTATAGATTTGTCTTAATATCGTAAACAATGTTGCATTTTGCTTGCTTTTGAAAGTATCTTTGTAGCACAATTATTTAAAGATGATATTTCTGGCATAAATGTTTCTCATAGTTTACAATTGATGAATATAGAATATAAAAGATGATATCAACTTCACTCCAAGATCTGTCTCATTAACATCATCAATTCTGAGAACTATCCAATATTCTTTCTGTGAGGATCTACTCTCTCTTGCTTCTATATAAGTTCCTGAGTAAGGCCATTTCTCCTTGTGGTGAGATTTCTCCTGTGCAACGTCACCACAAGATCCATTCATTATTTTAACAAGTGTCTAGTAAAAGAAAAGATGAAGAAAAATACCATAATACTTTATTTTCAGCGTAAAGAGCCCTTTTTCATTCTTGATCTCACGTCTACCTAAAAATAATACTTCTAGAAATGTCTAAGAACATCAATTTCTTATATTAGGAAACAAAGTGTCAAGTAAAATAAATTATTTGCTTTAGGTTATAGCTTTTAGATGGTGGGGATAATATGTCAGTAGAAATAAAGGGGCAGGATTATCCTATAGATAATGGGGAGGCATTAATTCTTGTAATGATAAAAAAGCTTTTAAAATGTTATGATCTACACTCTAATAATATGGTGACATTTAATTCACTAAAAAGTGGGTAAATGTATTAATAGTTTGATTATATAGTATATTAGTTCAAGTATCTATTTTCAGAAGTATGTTTTACTCAGTGTTATATTTCTGGGTCCTTAGCATAGTAAATTAATTACTAGCACATTATAGAAAACAATATACATATTTTAAATACATACAAAAGTATTTCACATCAGGTAACCACACGTTCTCATATTATATCCTAAATGAATATGAAAAAGAGATATTAATGGATAAACTTTGCCATAAATTGCAATCTACACTATAGTCAGATTCACAGCTCACATTGTCCTTTATTTTCAACAATCCTCTAAAATACTGACCATCTTTCTGGCACAGATGTCTCTTATATAACTTAATCTCCACACAAGCAAATCACACAGCTCAGGACATAAACAGTAAAATGATTTCTTCTGCCTGATCAGTGGCCTCATCACAAACAGTCAGGGGTGTCAATATTGCATATGCCATCAACGCATCTGATATATTTTTCTGAAAACAAGTGCATACCATAGATAAGAGACAGTCTGAGGTGCAATGATACAGAGAACCCTGTAGTCTGAGGAAAGCTCCATTGTCATTACTATCTCAATCACACATTTGTGACCTTGTAAACAAGAAAATGCAGCATCCCCACTGTTTAGCCCCACAAAGTATAGGCCATATTTTAACTGAAACCCCCTCAACAAAAAAAGGCCCATAAAACACTATTGTACAAAGATGAAATCTGTAATTTTATCCATTAATTAAAAAGTTCTGGCAGTTCAATAGAGCTCACTAAATCATTGTAAATCATTGAAACAAGTGGTTTAGCAGTCTATGAAGACCTGGAACAGCCTTCTACAGCAAAGCAATAAACATGATGCAATCCACTGTTAACTAGTCTCAGTTTAATTATAAAGCAGGGATTTTAGACCTTTACCCATCCTGTAGCCTTCAGCTGATTTCTTGTTATTAAGGGTATACCTCTGAAGACTGTAAAGCATTATTTATATATTACATTACCTATCATTAAATGCTTGAGACTGTGGTTTTACATTTCTATAACTTGATCTCCACTTACTTATTAATACATAATATTTAAAAAGTGCCTTCTTTCTGTTAAATAATGTATAATAATTATTTAATGTAAGACTCACAATAACCCTGTAAGGTAGATATAATTACTACCTATCTTACTACCTCTAGAAATCGAAGTTTAGAAGTCAATAATCTTCTCCAAAGTATCAAACCTATAACAAATGGCAGAACCAGGACATGAATCCAACTATATTTGGCTCCAAAGCCCATACTTAATAAACAAATGATGAGGTCTCCCCACAAAAAACAAGTGAATTGGTTATTCAAACCTCATGCATTGATTGCAAAGCATTTTGGAGATTCTGCTTTCCATTAAATTCTTATGTAATGTACAAAAATTCATCAGAAAGCATACAAACAAATCAAGTAAATATAGGAAACTCTGTTTCCTAGCATCATTTAGATAAGGGTTTCTCAACCTGAGCACTATTGACATTTTGGAGTGGATAATCTTTTGTTGTGGGCGGATGTTGTCTGCGCACTGTTGGTTGTTTAGCAGCACCCCTGGCTTCTGTTCACTAGACGACAATGCCATCCCCTCCCAGCTCTGATAAACGAATATGTCCTCAGATATTAGCAAATGTCGCCTGTATGTCAAAGTCGCTTCCAGTTGAAAAACACTAATTTACATGAAAGTTAATCCTGGCAAGGTTGACATAATCACGAAAGAAGAGCATACCTAAGAGCCAATCATCTGGACCCATCAGTCTTACAAATTCTCTACCTGAAACTTCCAAATAATGCTAAGGAGAGACGGTTGAAATAGGCTTGCCCTACTCAATGTTTACATAGTTATTTGTCTGTATTATCTTGTTGAAAAGGTAGAAATTTCAATTTGAGAAAGACAAATTTAAGCTGTAAGAGTCAAGGTTGATATTACCTTACATTAAATACGCATAGTTCTAAGTATCACAAATTACAAAAAATGAATGTGAGGAGAGTATCCTACGATATACTTCCCAAATCAAAGGCTGTTTTTGATAGGAAATGCAAAGTTTATTGTAATTTTAACAAGACTACAACAATAACGATAACTTTATAAAGTAATTTACATGTTGATTTTTCATAATTTTATTTATTTTTAAACAAATGATATAAGCGTATTATTTACTTCTATGTCTTTGAATAATTCTACATTACTATGCATTTAGACAAATTGTTTTTTAAAAAAATTTTTGATTATTCTTCTGTAAAATATAATGAATGTAAGAAGGTTGCATTATTAAAGTGCTCACTATTATCACTGTGATTACAAGTTTTCATTTTCCTCAGAACATTTATACTCAAAATTTTAAAACCCATGGCCTGAACCAGGATTATTGTGAACAACTAATCATTAGAGAATTTTTCTTGAATCTGACATATTTGCAAGACCAATAGAATCATATATACATAAAATATATATTTTGCATCTAAGTCTTTCTTTTACACTTCTTCTACAGTCTGACTAAAAAAGGAGATATTTGAGATAGCAATTATGTATTATTTTGATTTCTGATTATCTTCAAGCATTTGCATGTTTATTTTTAAATATTCTTGAATATATGAGAAAAATAGATATTTGCATATTCCCTTGTAGAGGAAGGGCTGCTGACTCAAAATTAGTAGAATTCAAAAAAATTGATATATGTGTGTAAGCTGTAGGTCAGTATCATAAAAGTTTGGAAATCAGATGATCCTAGATTTAAATACCTGCTTTGTCACCTTTGTTTGTACTGTGGGACATTGGACAAGTTATTTAATCTATGTTAGTATTATGTTTTATCATTAAAGTCATAAAATAAAAATAAGACACAATCCACAGGGCAGTTAAACATTAAATGTAATACCATAGGAAACACAGAAAACTCGACATCCAAAGGCCTGGGTAGGATTGAGAGTTTATGCTCTGTTCACTATGGGTCAGATACTTTATTTTTTTAATTTATTTTTCTCTTTATGTCTTCTAAAAAACAACAGGATACATGTGCAGAATGTGCAGGTTTGTTACATATGTCTATGTGTGCCATGGTGGTTTTCTGCACCTATTGTTTTTTTTTAATTTGTGCAATTAATTCATCATATTCACTCCATGCCATGTACTGCTATAACCCATCCCCCAATTTGAAAATAGTGAAACTGAGGTACATAAATTTAAGTAACTTGCCTAAGGTCACACAAGTAGTAAGCCACAAAGCTGAGATTCAAACCCAGGCAATTTGAAGCCAGAGCTTGTACTTCCAATCATACCACAACTCACTGGAAACCACAATAAAATAATCCCATAATGTTTAGTGTTTAGCCACACCACAGAGTAAGGCAGCTCAATACAAAGGAAACCGGGTAAATTTTAGTGCCAAACAAATCAAATCTCTCTCTTTTGCATATGTATATATATGTATTTCCATTATTTTTGTCTTTTACATATATGGTAAAAGATATATACACACACACACACACACACACACACACACACATATATATGAATGAAATATATGTTTCCTTATTTTCAAAATAGGGGATGGGTTATAGCAGTACATGTTATTGAATAAGTATAATGAATTAATTGCACAAATAAAAATAAAGTGACCCACAGTGAACACTGCATAAACTATGCCCTGTTCTTTGACAGTAGAATAAAAAACTTAGTTTTTATAACTGAAAAGGAAAAACAAATAATGTCTTGTATTGTTGATATGAAAATTAAATAAAATAACATACCTACTGCTTAGCATGATGCCTGATGTGCTTAATAAATAGTAGTTATTAGAGCAGGGATGAGTCTGCACCAGGACGTTTGCCTGATGGCCCTTCTGACAAAAGTTATATACAGTTTAAAGATGATTCAGAAAGGTAAAATATAGATTTTCATCTCCTATGAATTTAAAGGAAATGAAAGCAAGCCTATGCTTTAATGTCTTTTAGAAACACATTTTAAACAACTAAGATAAAGGAATATCAAGATATTATCTGATTTACAAATAATTGAAAATTCAAAAGTGAAAATTGAAGTTTCTTTTCTTGGGTTATATAAATACATCCTGCACTAAAAATATTTCTTTTGATGCTCATGTCTTCTTATGTTCTCCTAAGCTTCACTCACTGACTAAAATGACTAGAATTAATATTTCTCTGAATATGAATATAACACATAACACGTATTTCTAAACTGCAGAATCTTCCTGCTTTGTAATAATACATCTTCAATATATCCAACCTCTAAACCAGCCAAATCAGCTTTATCATATAACATATATATATCTCAACATATATAAAAAGTAGTATCTAATATTTTATAAAGTTGGTTTATACATGATCTATCTATCTATATCGAGATACACAGAAAAGTACCTCACATGTACATATACATAATACAATAAGAATATATAAGAAAAAAATATTTGGTTATAGCTCTGTCTTCATCCCATGAGGATAGAAAACCTGGGATAAAATTGGTATACAAATAAATACAATATTTTTAATGATCAACCTCATCTCACATTTTCTACTTGTAGTACCACCTACCTTTTATTGACACTTAATTTAGTTTCTCTAACCAAAATTATCATTCTGTAAAAGACAATATAGTAAGACTCCTATAAAATATTAAATGGGTTTTGGAAAGAAATAAGAAAAGCAGAATTATTAAAATGCTTTAGTCACAAAAGTGAGCACCTTTGATGAGATAAGTCATTTTAACATGAAACACAACAATGTTAATAATCAGAGCCAAAATTAAAAATGGTATGTAGTTAATCAAGTATTCCCAAAGTCCGGATAGTTTGTGCTGGTTGGATATAATAGATATGAGTGAATTTTTCAATTTCCCCCTGGGTGTTTGTCATCATGTCCATAAGGTATACTATAAAGTGATAGTAAAGGCCTGTGTCTACCTATGGAAGTAAAGTGAGGAACTTGGATTATTCAAATACCAACTCCCTCTCCCAAATAATCTCGACATATCCTTTCATAAGTGAACATTGAAGAGTTTGGGCTTTTTGTGAGTGTGTAGCCCGCAACCAAAACATTCCCGTGTGATAGCACAAACCTCTAGGGGGTGCAATTAAAATATCTAGATTGTATATTTTGTCATGTGGAGTGTAAATGAGTAGGGAAAGCTTTTTCTCTTAAGAGAAGCTGTTATTTAGGAAGTGCTATGTACATTTTTCTCATAAGAAACTTGAAAGATCTGTCCAGAGTGCTGACAAGATTTCACGGGGAGAAGGCTGGAAATTTGATGGGACGCACACTACTAACCCAATGAGTTCAGGACGCAGTATTTTCAAGTCCTAAACCAATGGCATGTTTAAATGGAAATAAACATGCATAAAGGACAGAAATAGCCACAATTGATTCTTACATGTGTGATTACATTGAGGTAACTGAGAAATTAAAGGAGGAAACTCCCTGCACTCCATAAAGAAAACAGCAAAAAGCACACCTAACAAGAGGTAGCATACCTGAACACTCCACAGCTGACAGTAGAATGTCATGCAACTAAGACGTCCACAGAAAACCCCTGCTTATGTCCCACTGGAGGAAGGGCTGCACGTAGTCCTGGTCAATGCACCTTTGGCTGCTTCAAACGGCCAGTGCCCAGGATTAGAGACAGAAATTAGCTCTAGCTTTGTCCAGAGAAACTCTGAACAATAAAATACCATGTAGCGAATGGAGAAGAAGGTGAAAAGGAGAAGCTGCCTTCTCACTGGTCTGTATCAATTTCCTATTGAAAAAGTAAAGTATTGGAGACCCTATCTCCCTGGTTACTCGACGTTACAGTCCAGCTAAGGCAGCATCAAGATTGTGTCTAAATAAGCACAAGCGCTTGTTATCCTCTCCTAAATTTCCTTTCCACACAGCAACTCCTCTGAAAGGAAATGAGGGCAGCTGTAAATTCGAGTACCAGGTGAAAGAGCCCTCCAGGTGGACCTGTCACTTCCCTGGAGAGGTCCTAATGCACGTTGGGCTCGGGCCACCGGCCAGCCTCGGCACTCATGGGCCTGCCCTGGGTTTTCTTCCCTAAGTCGCTGTAGCCAGGGCTTCCTCCTTGGCATGCCGCTCATGCTTCCGCCGTGGGATAACTAGCAGGCTTTGTGTTCGAGGGGAAAGATAAATCCATGGAAGAGGAAAGAGCGGGAGGGCTCAGGCTGGTGTTCAAAGAGAGGCAATATAGCCTGAGTGAAAGAGATGTGCTTTCAGCACCACCCGCTGTCCCCCCTCTTCCTGCAGCAGGCGCCACGAAGCGGCCCCTAACCGATCTATTGAAAAGCAATTCTCCGTCCTCTTTTCCTCTCCACCTTTGCTTCTCACAATTCCGAGCCCTCGGGTGGTTTGCGGGAGCACACTCTGCATTCGAAACCACGCGCACCTGGCCTTAGAGAGCGGGAACTCGGATGCGAAGGCATGCAGAATCTCCTTTTCAACCCTTGCAGCTCTTCCCTCCTTCACCCCGTTGCTCGCGCCTTTTTCCCCAACAGGTTTAATTAAGGCTGTTCGCAAATGGAACAGACTTGAATCTTGTCGGCTTTGGCCACCCCTGCTCCACCCGCGTCCCCCTCCCCCAAACCAAACTGTTGAGCTACTCAGCAAGCCTATAGATCCTAAATCCTTCTCTGGCCAGGGGACACTTGGGCACACAGACACTTAGCAAGCTTACCCCCCTGTTGGCTGCGCAGCAAGCAGTGAGACTCGGTCTAGCTAGCCCCCCGAAAAGTTGGGCCACGGGGATCAGCAGGGCAGAGCCGGCCTCTCCAGTCCCCGGCTTCCCCCCCAAGATGATCTCAAGCTCATCCCCTCCGCTCAGCGTGCTCAGAACAGCCGAGCTGAGGGCGGCGTGTGCAGCAATCTCCCCGCTACTGAGAAAGGGGGGATGGGGGGAAGGGGAGAGAGCGGAGGAGGGAGGGGTGGTAGTTTGTATTTATAGAGAACACAGTTCTTTGCGCAACTTTTTGGTGCCACCAAGTGGCACAGTGAGTTCCTTTAGGAACATAGACTTCTGGGTGAATCTGGATGGGTAGACCAGCTCTGCAAACAGATGCTCACATGGCAAGGAAGTTGGAGGCACTCCCAGGTCTTAGTTTTCACATATTTACCGTCATATCTCAGCACCTGGGATACAAATCCCTAAATTCTAAGAATAAACCTGTATTAAGTGAGAAAGGGCACCTGTGCCTTCCTCAGACAGGTGGAAAGAGTGTCAAGGACATGGTAGGTCCCAGTTGTCTCCTAGGAGTGTAGACATCCTTGTCTCAGGAGGAATATCCATGATCTTCTTCTTCCTAACCCCTCTGCCCAGATTACATTGCATTTATGTTTTACTCTAAAACCTTCTTCTTGCTGCCCTGACTACCTAATCTTTAAACTGGATTGGCACTTATTTTCCTTGCCACCAAACCTTCTTCGTCAATGCTAACCTTAAAAATAGCATATGACTTGTTCACAACGTGCAGGTTTGTACCCTAGAACTTAAAGTATAATAAAAATAAATAAATAATAAAACACTAAAAAAATAGCATATGACTTTAGGCTCTCTGGATCTGAACATTTCTAAACAGCTCTCAGAACTCCAAGTTCACTGCACTACAGGCTGGAGGTTGGATTTTCCTCACTCATTTCCACAGACCTCTCAGCATGCATTATCCCAACAGCACAGTCAGGATCTTGCCAACTGCCTTCAGTACTTTGAGGAAGAATCCCCTGAAGCTTCCTTTATCCATATTTTATGAGTGTTCTTACTTCTTAGTATGCAGATCTTGAAACACATACATAGACACTACGGCATGGGACCTTCGTGTCCCCAAATGCAGAAGATCCTCTACATTGTTCAATAGAGAAACTGAGTACATGAAGGTTAAGGGGCTTGTTCAAGGTCATGTTTCTCTAGAGATCTGCCCAGGAACTACCTAGGGTAGAAATGAATGAACGCAGTGATGCCAAACCCGATCACCCTGTTCTTGTTCCTTCTACTACCCCACTCAGCCTATTCAGTCATATTCAGCTCCCTTCTCTTTCCTGTATTCATTTCTTTCATATTCTCTCTCTCTCTCTCTCTCTCTCTCTCTGTGTGTGTGTGTGTGTGTGTGTGTGTGTGTGTGTGTGTGAGAGAGAGAGAGAGAGAGATTATTTTTGCCAAAGTTCCATAAAGGAACCAAGAGTAAACATGTCTTCCTAGCTCCACTGGGAGTATATGAACTTGAGTTTATAGGTCCAGAGTTGCAGGTGTACCATCTTTACATGACCCACAGTTCCAGAAAACCTCTCCCTCCTAGTACTATAGTCCTTTTAGAAATGGAACACTGAAATTTACACCCAATCGGGTCCCTTCTTTGCTGCCTCTTTTTGGGGTGAAACACCAGCAACTGCTCTTATTAGCTCCCCCAAACACCTAATGGGCTCAAAGATAGAGGAGCCCATCTCCCTTCCTAAATCCTTGCCTTTCGTGCACATGTATTGGCATGACACACACACACACACACACACACACACACACACACACACACAGAGGAAGAGAGAGAGACACACACAGAGAGAGAAAGATCCAAACGTATCCTTTGGCTCGGATCTTTATTTTTTCCACCTCTGAGTTTTTTTTTTTTAGTTCGTTTTCTATGGAAACAAGCCCACTTAAATCCCTCACTTATGCAAATAAAAGCAAAATGATCTTCATAAACCTCCCATTGGAGCGATACCGCGGTAGCCCAGGCTCCTGACTTAAATTTATGTCTGATTCACACAGCACATGTCCTTGCAGGGTGACTTTTCTAAACTTGCAGGACCTCGTAGCGTTCCTGGCTCTACCAGCCCTCCACCTGCTCACCACTTGCCCTCCTGGGTCTTTTTAGCCCCAGCTGCCGCCCTTTGCTTGATCGCTCTCCATCCCTGCACTGGGGGAGGGGCTCCAGTGGTATCCTATATTCGTGGTAACTACAGACAAGAGAAAGAAAAAGGCGCTGCGCTTACCAGGTGTGCGCCCTGAGCCTTGCGCCCCCAGGCAGCCGCTCCTCGAGGGCTTCCTGCGCTTTCGTAGCGGCCTTGGCTGCAGCTGGAGCGCTAGTGTCGGCGATGGAGGCAGCGGTGACAGCAGGCAGAACGGCTGCGGGGCCCGCGGCGGTGGCGCTCGCTCTCTCGCGCCAGTGCCGGGAGCACGTGCCGCGCTTGGGCAGACGCAGCTGGAAGCGCAGAGCAGGGCTGGCTTATACTCCTGCAGCGCGCGGCGGGGGTTGGCAGAACGGCCAGGGCATAGACTCAGTGGGTGAATAAGGGTCTTAAAGCCTCGTCGTTTCGGGGTTCAGGCGAGGGTAGCCTTGGTCTCCCTCTCCTGCTCCTCACATTCCCTCTGGGAGCCATGGGAGGAGGAAAGCTGTGCGGAGGAGGCGTGGGTGGTGTGTCACTCAGAGAGAAGCTGGGGAGCAGGTAGATAATAAGGTTCTTTTTGACTATGGCACTTAAACCCCTGACAATGATTGGGAGAAGGGGCGTCACTGCTGGAGGGTACAGAAAGCTAGGAAGTCAGGGAAGCCCGAGATGATTCAGAGGTGTGACTGGTTAGAAAGAACGGCCTCTAATGATGTTACTTATTAACAATACCATTTTGCATTTTCTGCACTTCTTACAAACGATTCTTCCTACATCCGTTAAAATTTATTCTTCGTTGGCAGTTGAATGTCTTTACTTTCTCAAATGACTTTGCTTCCCTTCCTTCACCACCCCCATAACTGCCCAGGATTGTCAGCTATGCTGAGGTAATCTTTAAATACAAAAACAGACTTCGTTTCTGCCTCTGAAAAGGAGATTGGTATAAATTACTTGCATGGCTTAATTTAAAGAAAAGAAAGACATTGCAGCAATATGATTATTATTCCCGTTGTATTTCCCTAGCTGAATTTTGGGAACCAGGTGCTTTCAGCAGCTGGATCAAAGATGAAAAGATGAGTGCACTAAAGTCAAGGGGATTGATGCTGATGCATTCATTACTAATGCTCATTAGATTTTCCACCAGACCCTTGTCAATAAGGTAAGTTATTGTTTGATAGCTTCAGGATTTAACAACAAGAAAAAGAGATCTATCTACCACACCTTGTTGAGTTTTACAATGGCATCTTTCTTCTTGCATTTTCACGTCTACTGATGGGATCATTGTTACTTTTTGTATTTCTTTGACTGCAATTCACAAAACAAGTTTTAGTACTTTGGAGAGAGGCCAGGAAAGCTGTGAGTGAGCTTCCTTAATTAAAAAAGAAAGAAAGAAAGAAAGATGGCATAGATGAGAAAATAGAAAGATGGCATAGGTGAGAAAATACAAAAAATAGTGAGTTCGCAAGAAAATGGAGGGTGACATGACTAGATGACTCTGGTGATGTGATTAAGTCTGATGAATACAGTGATTTGTTTATCCAATTTTCTGAGGCATTAACAATAAAGATAAGGTCAAATTTGGGTTTTTGTATGAGACATTTAGCTTTGAGTGAGCATAGAGCACTCCAAGCTCCCAGTTTTTCTCCATCAGCTGGAGCTGGATCAAAATACATTAGTGAATGAGAAAGAAGTGAATGTTGTGTAGTGAATGTTGTCCACTCAGTCACTTAAACTTTTCAATTTCCTACACATATTTCCTTCTCTCCTGTCTTCCAGTGTTATGACGAGAGTGGGATGACATAAGACATGTCAAAGCATGTCAAAAAATGACAAAGCACTCCGTAAATGTAATACCTGCTTACCAATACATATCGACTTCCTATGCTCTAAAGGCTAAAATGTGAAGGACATTCTCCATGTTGAACAATAGTTAAATTTTCAGATGAGAAGTAAAACGTGATTATATAATCTTAAAATTGCTCAGTGACATTTTAAAATATAGCTTCATCTCATAATTGTAAAGTGCTGAATTAGGCAAAATTAAAATTAAAAGGGATATAGAAACAATGTTTTACATTCCAATAGTAAGTTCTGATTATAAATTGCTCAAGGGTATAACTTTTGCCTTAGGATGAGCTATTAATGAACAAAATATTTTAATTCCTATGTAGAACAGTAGAAAAAAAGAATGGAAAACACAGTCATTCTCAGAATTGATCAAGCTTAAAACTTGAAATCTCCATTCATTTCTGTCCTTATATGTGAGAATTTGTCATGAAATCCTGTTAGCTCTGCCTTTCAAATATATCCTAGAATCTTACCACTTCTAACCACCTTCACAGAGAACCTGTTGAATCCATCAACTATCATCTTTTACCTGCCTCACAGGAATAAATTCCAAACTAGTACAGGCTACATTCAGCACAGCATCCAGAGTGATCTTTTAAAGAATTTATCTTAAATCAAATCTCTCCAGTACCTTCTGATTTCACTGAGTAAAAGCCTAAGTCCTCTCAATAAATATTTGGAATATTTAAATGAATATTTATGAAAATAGAGGTACACCTGTTATATGCTGCCCTTCATTGTACAAGTTGGCAACACTGATGGTAAATCATGTGAATGTTTGCAGGAGGTCTGAAAGACTACTGAGTGACAGCACCTTTTCCAAATATGGGCACACTTACCTACTTCTTAAATTGTGTTTTTGCATTTGTGATTCTCAGACTTAGCTAGCTCATGTTCTAGACTTCAAGGGGGTTATATAAATTCTAAATGTTTTGCAAGTATGTGGTTATCTGAGCTCATTAAATAAAAGGTTATAAGTGGCTTAAAAATTTTTGAATGTTTTTATCAATTTAATGAACACTCGTTAAACATTTATTATTGCTATATTTTTTTGCCAGTTACTGTACAAAACACTATAATAGAATGATACACAAAATATTAACATATACTTACTTGGCCTTAGAAAACTTAAAGTTATTACATATATGTGTGTGAGTGCATATGTGTTTAAATTTATTCATTCATACCATTTATTAAATATTTATTAAACTATCATGTACCAGGAATGGCTAGGTGTTGGGGATAAAATGATGGATGAAATAGAATTCGTCTCCTGTCCTGTGAGGCTTAAAGTAAGGAACACATGAATAAACTAACTGATGTGTCACAATTTATGGGAAATAAAATGAAGAACAAGGTACAGTTATAAAGAATAGCAGGGCATGAGGAGGGGGCCTGGTATCTTGTTTTAATTGAACATTAAAAATAACTCTAAGACAAATATTAAATCAAGACCTAAAAAAGTGTATTATTATGCAAAAAAATGTGACATATGTCTATGTTTCTGTCTGAGTTAAGAGATGTGATCAACAAGGGGTGGCTGATCAAAGAGTGGGAAGAAAATTAAGGGGGTTTACAGGCAGAGGGAACAATATATGGAACTCTGAGGCAGAACAACATTTGCTGTGCTTTAGAAACTGAAAAGACAGTGGGGTAGATGAAGTAGAGCTTGACAAACCTTAACTGTAGCTCAGCTTGTTCAACTCCCAAATGAAGGTAATTTTATCTAATTTTATTTACTAAATTTAATCTGGCAACTTTCTAGATGTGAATGAGTCAATTAAATATGTTATTAAGAATGGAAAATGAAAGCCATGCAGAAAAAGGAAATGACAAATACTCCTATCATATTGACTAAGTGCTTTACCAGAAAATATTTAGTTACATCATTATCTAATATAAGAAATTTAGTCTGTTCATAGAAAGAATTTTATTCTTGCTGCTGTTACTAAATACTAGTACTATTATATAGACCCTTATATACATGGTCCCTAAAAACTCAGTGTCTTCAGCAGGGATTTTATAGCAAAAATAGGAACCTTTTTTATATTACGCACTCTTATATAAAACTTCAATTTAAGATCTAGACAAACCATGGAAATTTAATTCAAAGAAGTTGTTATTTATGAATCTATGTTTATTCATCTCTCTATTCTTCAGGGAGGACAGACCTATAAATATAGCCCTGTGAATTAATTTTTGTTATGATACTTGGTAAAAAATACAGTAAGAAAAGTATTTAGTCTTTTAGTGCTTTGGAACTGCAACTCCTTTAGACAGTGTTTTCCAAGATGAAGTCCTCTGTCCAAGCAGACTCTTGGCACATGTATGGCAAACACAGAGATATTCATCTTCACTCTGGGTGCACAAAATATAGTGTGTGCGTGTGTATGTGTAACTGTCTCATCACAAGGGGCAAAGGACTTCCTTTATATCCCAGGTGAAGACACAGAGCACTCATCCAAGGGTGAGGCAGAATGTACACTGGATTTCAGTCCTAACTGATTGCATTTGGAAACTGAATTTTGGCTCTTTCTTGAATAGGGGACTTGGACAAGCTGCTGAACCTTGGAACCTCCTTTCCTTATCTGGAAATGGGAAAATCAAAAAGGTAATGTAAAAAATACCTAACTTTCTTTGTTATACATAAAGTCACTCTGGAAATCAAAAGTGCTATAAAGTCTCAGCAAATCGTGGTCCTTTTTTCCCTCACATTTCCTCACAATATGACTCTCTTTGTTCCAGTACAATGTGATGTATAGGCAAGAATTTGAATAACGGTGTTGGATTACTAGGAAGGGTCATATATAACAAAAGAAAATCCTTTTCTAAATTCTGTTTTTATGTTAACAGGAAATTTCTTGTTTTGTTTTTTTCTGTAAAATGTGAATAATAGTACCTATGTAGAGGTTGCTAAGATAAACAATAATGGATGTGAAGCAATTGTACAGTCCTTGAAATGTGGCAAGTACAGGGTATTTGGTGGTAATGATGATGATGATGGGAATGAGGATTAGTTTATTTTAATTTCCAGTTATTTACATCCCACATTAGCATGACCAAGACACTAAACATAGCCTGGGACATAAAGTCCACTTTTTAAGATACTCGGAAATTTGAAAACTACTTTCTAGTCTAGTAGAGCTCATCTCTTTGTAAATATATTTAAATTATAAGACCAGGTCTTGTAGTAATTCTTCATCAATACTTTTGGCAAAGATAGTAAAATTTTTCACTTACAATAAAAAATAGGTTAAGTAAAATGGCAGCAGTATTCTGAAATGCATGTAAATGACCAAGTAAGGGTATACAGAAGTTTTTGTCCTTCCAACCAGAACCTCAGACTCATTGCTCAATAGAATTGCTGGGAATGTTTCACTATATATACAAAAGACAATTATGCTCTTAATGGCTTAGATATAGCTGTTGCAAGTATTTATAATACATTTAGTCTTGAGGACTCTAAGCCACCTGAAATCTAACATTATGTTTAACACACTGTAACTCTAGTGATTTGGGAAATTTATGTTGTTTTTCAGTGTTACATTTCCTAGAAGCAATTAATTGAGCTAAAGCCAGTAATTATTTTAAATTATGTAGTAAGCAATGAAAGCCAGAATTTCGAAAATTGATGAGGTGAGAGCTTATTTATGTTACTAAATATTTGCTTTTTATACCTCTTTAAGATTAAGTAAGAATGTTGAGCTGGGCTAGACACACAGATCTATCAGAAACATTGATGGATAGATCGAGAGCCCATGTGCTTGTTGAAGCAGTAAATCATTCAGTTCTCTTTCTTAGTGTTTTTGTCTGTAAAATGGGAAAAAATGCTAGTTCTGTAGCTTATTAACTTATTGGGAAGACTAAATTAGTTACACTTGCAAAGTTCAGAGCTTGGTACATGGTGAGCATTTAACACACTGTAGCACATGAGTAAAAGCATGATCTCTGAAGCCAATCTGCATGGATTTGACACTTGGCTGTGTTGCTTACTAGTTGTGTATTGACTATTTAAGCTTTCTGTACCTTAGTTTATTTATTTATAAGTAGAGAGAAAGATTAGTGACGACTACTTCATAAAGCCATTGTTAGTATTAACTTGTTAACTCCTGCTAAGCCATCAGAACAGTGCCTTGTAATCATACAATGTTAGTTATTATTAGCTTATAATAATTTAGTAAGCACTTTAGATCCAGGCATCATTCAACTTAAATGTGTCCTTTAATGAAATTGAACCTGATAATTCAAGTCCCAGGAACTAGGAAACACTGGGCTTTCTAAACGTTATATTGGAATGAATATCTTCAGAATATTCAGAAAGAGTAGAAGTTCTCACTAATCTCTAATTCCCCTTTTTCCCTTTTATCATGACTCTTTATTGTTTTGAAAGACATTTAATATTAATCTCCTTTTTTTCCCTCTAATGAATGCATGTTTACCCTTCAAGATTAACTCCAGTGAAACACTGCCTGCCCAACTCCCTTGAAAGACTGGACACCATGTCTTTCAGCTACCATAAAACTTTGCTAAAAAGCCCTAGCATGTCATATTATATGGCGATTATTCATTAGGTTTCTGCCTCATCAGGTTGCCTTATATAATGCAAACTCTTCTTAGGCATTTTATTTTATGCATTCTCTGTACTGGCTATTGTGTCTAGCATGTAGTGGTTACCAAACACACTTTTAACAAATAAATTAATGTGTTCTAGCAATTAATCCAGATTTTCACAAGCTAGATTCTAAAGTAGCATAAACTAGTTCAGATACATAGACTTTTTAGTGCAAGGATTCTGAACTTTGGCTACATGTTAGAATCACGTGGGAGATCTTTTAAAACCACTGACTTACTTGATAGCAGGTGAGGCCTCAAGGAATGTTTAAAAAGTTTCACAGATGGTGCTAATGTACTGCCAAGATTCAGAACCACTCTTCAGTCTTTTTTACATCCTTTGTATTTATTTTAAATTAATTTGGTACAAATGACATAGACATGAGTGTAGGTGACATTTTATCAAGTAAAGCACAATTTGTCAACATGAGAATTAATGCCCTGTTTACCCCTTCTGAGAATGAGAATTTTTTTCCCAATGGATACCCCCATTTCAGATTTGTAAAAATTTTAAGGCATACTTTATGTCAAAAATAGACATATCTCTCAAATATTCTTCGTATCAACTATGGGAAGTAACTGATGAGACCCAAAGAGGTGAAGTTGTTAGCACTTACCATATTTTTTTTAAGAGGCAGGTTCTCATTCTGTTGCTTAGGCTATGCAGTGGCAATCACAGCTCACTGTAACCTCAAACTCCTGGGGTTAAGAAATCCTCCTGTCTCAGCCTCTCCAGTAGCTAGGACTACATATGTGAATCCCCACACCTGGCTAATTTTATTTATTTTTTTGTAGCGATGGTGTCTTGCTATGTTGCCCACGCTGTTCTTGAACGCTTGACCTCAAGTGATTCTCCTACCACAGCCTCCCAAAATGCTGAGATTACAGATATGAGGCACCACACCCTGCCTACCATACAATTTTAAAATAGCAACTCCAATATGTAAAATCATATCCTAGAACCCCAAACTTGTGCTATTTCCAGTTATCTTATGCTGCATCCTAACTCTGTAAACACTCTTCCCCATTGACTCTTAAACTGTGTAAATCTTGAATATTGACATACTTAATTCACATATACCAGAATAAAATATTTGTTATAAAATCTCAAGTAGACATTACAGCATTTCTAGAAAAATTTTAAAAAGAAAAGTCATATTAGCAATTCATGATATAAAAATATATAGGGAATTAAAATGTTCAAAATATTACAAGATAATTTATTCAATATTTGATGCAAAAACAAATAGGATGACAAATATTTATTGTCCAGTAAATTCAAAATTAAGTGAATTTTTTTTGCGTTTTGTTTTCAACTGTTAATATATATATGTACTTCTGTGCATCCATGTACTTCTTAAGCAAATATTAATTGAGCAGTTGTTATGTGCTATGTATAGAGGTTACAAAGAGCAATAACCTCAAGGTTCTGAAAGTCTAGTTGCATATACGTTATACGCAAAATCCTAGCTTTTAATTGTTTTACTTGAAATTGTTTTCTAAATTATTTCCTATATTTGTAAATACAGTGGCTAATGATGATTTTCAACTACACATTTTTCGATTTTATTCATATATAACTATATAAGGATATCCTCAAGCAAGTGTTAAAATTTTAAAAAATTACATTTAAGCTCATAACTATTTATGAGTTTACTCTGAACTACCTAGAATATTTAAGCAATCCATTTTCCAATTATTGCTCACACTTCTATTTTTAATACAGTGTATTGTTTTCCCCACTTCTTAGTAATATTTTGAGTGTAGAAAAGCCAAGAGATTTGTAGGCTTATCTGTAGATCATAGAACGCTAGAAGGGAATGTGTCTGGAACTCTCTACTAGCCAAGTCATCCTGTGAATTGAACTGACAGTGCTTTATTTCTAAAGAATGACAATAACTAGGTTGCTATAAAAAACCTTTCTGAATGTGATTTTGAGAGAGGGTGTATATTATGTCATTTCCAGAGAAATGACCAGAGGCCTAGGTCAATTGACTGAGGTCGGTAATGGTGGTAGCCCCCATCCACTATGGTGAGTTCTCTATTAGGGCTATTACCCGCTTGCTACCTCTAACATTAATTAGTCTGGCAGACCACCTCAAAGGAAAAATTAGAAGCAATATACCTGTCCTTTTCCCTGAAAACTAATAGATGGCCTCCCTCCATCCTACATCCTCCAAAGACCAAGTGGTTAAATGTATTTTTGTTAATATAAACAAACAAACAAAAAAACCCTTCTAACTTTTTTCTCTCATTAACACTGGTTTCTGCACATATCCAGAAGCTGACCACTGTTACTATGAATGGAAATCTTTAGACAGTATTTCATAAGCATCTCCATTGTATGCAAACAGTGACAGAATACTACAATATTTTAGGTCAAGAAATATGAAATTTCAAAAATTAAATAAATACAAATTAAAAAATAAGAAATTGGAAAAATAAAAAAGGAAAAGCCAAGAAAGTTTTCTGTCATCTCCTTTCTTTTTGCATGTCACATTGTCACTCAAAACAATGAAGAACAATGGCAGGAAAAGAAGAAAGAGGAGAAAAAGACATTTAAATAGGAGATACGGAAGAAAGGGAGGGAGGGAGGAAAGAAGAAAAAGAGAGAGTGTGAGAATAAAGTGTGTGAAGAAGACAGGAAGGAAGGTAAGAAGGAAGAAGAAGAAAAAACAAATGTCACAGAGAATTACGCAGAAATTTAAAAATCCAAGGGCTATGTAATCTAAAATAAACCTCAGAATTTATAAAGAAGTTATCATCAAATGAGGATTAAAATTTATGTCAAATTTCCAAATTTAAGACTGAGAGTCTCACCTCAAGCCCTCTCTTCTGATCTCTTGATGTTCCATGGACTCATGTCTTGTTTCCATAGTGACCGTTTTCATGAGCCTTTTAAATAAGAAAAATTGATTTTCTCTCAACACTTGTTTTCAGAATCTTTCCTCCATTCCTGAAGCAATCCAAAGAAAATTGTCTTCAACTTAAATGCCTTTAAGTTAGGTATAAACTATCAATGGCGCATTAGAAGGAAGAGAAATGAACAAGAGGTATTGAGCACCATAAATTAAATATTTAGAGATATATAGATAGAATAATATAGCCTTGTATTTATTCCTGAGTAAATGGTTATAAACTTAGATTTCCATCTTTCATGGAAACATGGACTCTGTAAACCAATCGAGAGCTAGCAAGTAAACAGAAACGTATTTGGAGCGTAAGTTTTGCTATTGGGGGATAAGTTAATAACCAATAACTGCTTTTTATTTTTATATGCAACAAAGTCTAAATATTACTCTCCTTCATTAAATAAACTGAAAAATACAGTTCAGAAAGCTCCCTAGAAACCTTGGCCTATTCAACCAGAAACATGTGCTATCTAAATGTGAGCATTCAATTTTGTCAGATCCATAATTATTAGTTCAAAATTTTAACTTTATTATTTTTCTATTTGATCATTATATATCTTGTATCACAGTAATCAATTTCCAATTAGCAAAAGTAAATAATACATTGAATTAATGTATAACAGTAAACACTAGTGGCTTCCTGATATAAGCTTAATAATCTCCACCTCACTCATATATCTTGACAAATTCTCTTCCTTAAAGTATGCATCAGGTCGATTTTGTCCCAAAGTCCCACAAATTTCTATAATCACACAGTTTCACAGTATATAGTCATTTACTATTTATTTTAATGATCTCATTTTATTTCTATGAACATACGGCCAATTTTATCTTTATGAAATTTCATTTTTTTCTATCATGTCACCATCTCTGCTTAGAACATGTCTGCCACATTTTAGCCACTTAATAAATATTTACTCAATGAATACATGAATTGACATCCTTAAAGTTGCCTTTCATTTACTTCAATAACCCATTAATTCATGAGAAAAAAATTGAAATGAAGACCTATTCAGATTTATGGTTAAAAAAAATTAACAGCAGAGACTAGGATTGCAACCCTGCTTTTTTTTTGTTTTGTTTTCCATTTGCTTGGTAGATCTTCCTCCATCCCTTTATTTTGAGCCTATGTGTGTCTCAGCACATGAGATGGGTCACCTGAATACAGCATACTGATGGGTCTTGACTCTTTATCCAATTTGCCAATCTGTGTCTTTTAATTGGAGCATTTAGTCCATTTACATTTAAGGTTAATATTGTTATGTGTGAATTTCATCCTGTCATTATGATGTTAGCTGGTTATTTTGCTCGTTAGTTGATACAGTTTTTCCTAGCATCGATGGTCTTTACAATTTGGCATGTTTTTGCAGTGGCTGGTACCGGTTGTTCCTTTCCATGTTTAGTGCTTCCTTCAGGAGCTCTTGTAAGGGAGGCCTGGTGGTGACAAAATCTCTCAGCATTTGCTTGTCTGTAAAGGATTTTATTTCTCCTTCACTTATGAAGCTTAGTTTGGCTAGATATGAAATTCTGGGTTGAAAATTCTTTTCTTTAAGAAGGTTGAATATTCGCCCCCTCTCTCTTCTGGCTTGTCGTGTTTTGTAGTGAATTTGAACGTTGGCCTGTCTTCCTAGGTTGGAGAAGTTCTCCTGGATAACATCCTGAAGAGTGTTTTCCAACTTGGTTCCATTCTCCCCGTCACTTTCAAGTACACCAATAAGATGTAGATTTGGTCTTTTCACATAGTCCCATATTTCTTGGAGGCTTTGTTCATTTCTTTTTACTCTTTTTTCTCTAAACTTCTCTTCTTGCTTCATTTCATTCATTTGATCTTCAATCACTGATACCCTTTCTTCCAGTTGATCGAATCAGCTACTGAAGCTTGTGCATTCGTCACATAGTTCTCATGCCATGGTTTTCAGCTCCATCAGGTCATTTAAGGTCTTCTCTATGCTGTTTATTCTAGTTAGCCATTCGTCTAATCTTTTTTCAAGGTTTTTAACTTCTTTGTGACAGGTTTGAACATCCTCCTTTAGCTCGGAGAAGTTTGTTATTATCAATCTTCCGAAGCCTTCTTCTCTCAACTCATCAAAGTCATTCAGAGTGAACAGACAACCTACATAATGGGAGAAAATTTTTGCAATCTACCCATCTGACAAAGGCCTAATATCCAGAATCTACAAAGAACTTAAACAAATTTACAAGACAAAATCAAACAACCCCATCAAAAAGTGGGCGAAGGATATGAGCAGACACTTCTCAAAACAGACACATGAAAAAATGCTCATCATCACTGGCCATCAGAGAAATGTAAATCAAAGCCACAATGAGGTACCATCTCACACCAGCTAGAATGGCAATCATTAAAAAGTCAGGAAACAACAGGTGCTGGAGAGGATGTGGAGAAATAGAAACACTTTTACACTGTTGGTGGGACTGTAAACTAGTTCAACCATTGTGGAAGACAGTGTGGCGATTCCTCAAGGATCTAGAACTAGATCCTTGAGGACTAGAAATACCATTTGACCCAGCCATCCCATTACTGGGTATATACCCAAAGGGGTATAAATCATGCTGCTGTGAAGACACAGGCACATGTATGTTTATTGCGGCACTATTCACAATAGCAAAGACTTGGAACCAACCCAAATGTCCATCAATGACAGACTGGATTAAGAAAATGTGGCACATATACACCATGGAATACTGTGCAGCCATAAAAAATGATGAGTTCATGTCCTTTGTAGGGACATGGATGAAGCTGGAAACCATCATTCTGAGCAAACTATCACAAGGACAGAAAACCAAACACCGCATGTTCTCACTCATAGATGGGAACTGAACAATGAGAACACTTGGACACAGGGTGGGGAACACCACACACCGGGGCCTGTCATGGGGTGAGGGGAGTGGGGAGGGATAGCATTAGGAGACATACCTAATGTAAATGACGAGTTAATGGGTGCAGCACATCAACATGGCACATGTATACATATGTAAGAAACCTTCATGTTGTGCACATGCCCTAGAACTTAATGTATAATAAAAAAAATGAAAAACTTTTAGCTAACAGAAAAAAATTAACAGCAGATTACATTTATACATACATTATATATATATAAAATATATATGTATGTAGATATAGATATAAGAATATAACCCAGACTATAGTAGTTGATAAAAGGGTTGACTAATTTTTTTAAATTCTGATTGCTATGGACTAAATCATGTCCTTTATTTTTAAATACCATTTAAAGATAAAATTATACAATCTTCAGGCTATGATACATCTTTAAAGTAGATTTTTCAGATAAAATACAGGAAGCTGTTAAATTTGAATTTCAGATTAACGAATTTTTTAAAGTATACATTCATAATGAAAATTGCATAACTCTGTGCCCCAAAGATTTCATGGGACATTCTTACACTAAAAATAAGGCTGTTTTACTGAAATTCAAATTTAACTGCAAGTCTTTGCGGGGAAAACAGTGATAATATGATCTGATGGGTGCCAAGATTATGTCCAGGTGCTACACGAGAGCAGATGACAAGTACTTTGGACACATTCACAAGACACAAATTTAAGATCTCGAGGTCAAATGTTAGAAAGCCATAGTACAGTATGAAGCTACATATACTGAAAGTCAAAAACATATAACTGGCATACAAGAGTGGGATTATAGTGGAGGGCCATGGTAAAATTCTTTCAGGTGTTTTGAAAAAGCTCTTTTTCCTCTTTAAGCTGAATTGTGAAATCAAAGAGCCTACATCCTGTGGTAATTAATTACAGTAGATATCAAAGAAGCATCATCAAAAAGCAACACCCAGACTAATACAACGTAGCTATTGATGAATTTTTTAAAATGCATGAAAGCATTAGTACATGAAGCCTCCGGCAGTTTCTATGAAATTTTGAAAGTAATTTTGATGAAAGTTACCCTAATAATATTTGAGTATCTAAGAACAGCAACTCAGCCTTACACATCTCAGTATTTCTAGCACTTAGCACAATGCCTGATACGGAGTTAGTATGTAATAATATTTTTAGAATAAATGAACGAATAACTTCTCACCCCCTTAGTTATTCTTTATCCTCTCTGCTTCAAATTCACTTTGTCTAACGGTTGGTCTACTGGGGATTATCTTGATTAAGACTCAAACTTACAGGGACTATGGAAAATAACTTAAGTCGTAGAGCTTCCTTCAAGGAAGAAATGCAACCAGAATCTCTGCTCACAGTATGCAAAACAGGATAGCAAAGTTATACTGGGTTCGAATGGGCATCACCATCTCTGAGAAGCAGCCTGGTACATACACAGCAATGGTATCGAGGTGGCTGATGATCCTTGAAGTCCGATAGATGGAGGCATTCTAGTGTGTGACCTGCCAGGGCCCTAAAGAGTAGCAAACACCTGTTTTCCCCTAGTGGAAATGATCGGGCCCAGGTTATGCCATTTTCATTATGAGAAAGGTGTGCTAAGGTTCGTAACATTCAACCCTAGCAAGAAATGGCAGTGTGGATAGTAGATGGTTAGTGTGACATAAAGGTGTAGGAAAATGTTATATAGTGAATGAGATCTATTGGACACCAGGACAGATTTATTTTAGGATGAATAATGGTCCTAAATCTCCCCACTCAAAACAAACAAGCAAACAAACAAACAAACAAACAAAAAGAAAGAAAATGCTTAAGGTTCACCCCCATAAAAATTCAAAGAAAATTTAAAATTATCTTTTAAAAAGTTCCAAAAAGTGCTACAATATTTTGATTTATCCCCATGATAGATGCTTCAATATTTATTTTCAAATAGCAAGAATAAAACACAAAATCTTTTTTTAAGTAATGCATGTATTTCATGCTCCTGCAATGCTTGTGATTAGTTTGCCCTTTAAGTAGCCCAGTAGTAGGTGTAAGATGCCAAAACTAATTCTAGCCAGTCCCTTCCTACTGCTGAACCCAGGCTAAAATTGTGACACCTCCATTGGTAACGTATGATTCTGTGATAGGTAATTCCGTTCAATAGTCAACAGAGGCAGTCACATAGGATATACCTGTGTGCTGACTGTGGATGCTTTGTCACTGTGTCCTTAATGCATTTAAAAATTGTATTTACTCATTGTGAATATCTTATAAATGCACATGATATATCATTTAAAATATATAATACATTAATGAGTAAAAGTAAGTATACCTCCTGTTTTCTTATGTCCTTTCAGATGTATCTGAAATGTTTATGTGTTCTTTATTTTTATACAAATTGAGTATAGCATATTAAGCACACTGTTCTACACCTTATTTTTTTATTTTTCAGTACAACTATAGTGGTTTCATGAATGTACAGGATTCCTTTGAAGTGATGTACTGTAATGTTTTACCAGTGCCTATAAACAAGCTGATTCCAGAATTTTTGTATTATCAATAATATAACAAATATCGTTATTAAATATATCATTTTGCACAACTGTGAATATGTTCTAGAATATGTCCAAATGGTATTTTCAGTTGTTATTTTGAAGTATATTTTCAAAATTCCTTCCTTAGTAGTTGTTTTAATTTACACATCAACAGGAATTACTTGGTTTTGAAATGCTCATAATTTTATCTCCTTCTTTTCCTAATAACTACATATCCATCTTTGAAGATCAGCCACTTCCTCATACACCCACCAATGCAGCATGTCATCACACATGTGATCTTGGCAAACAGGATATAAGAAAGATTATATATCAATATGATCTTAATTTGCATTTTTTATGAATATGTCAAAATATTATTTCATATGCTTAAGAAACAGCTATAATTTTTCTGTCAACCATTCCTAATCTTTACTACTTTTTGTTTTGAGTTCATCCTGTTTTCTTTATTGATTTGTAATCTTTTCTTAACAAGGAAAGTAACTCCTTGTGATTCAAGTTGAAATTATTTTTCTAGTTTCCCATTTATCTCTTGACTTTATCTTGTTGATAAAATGAGATTTTTAAAAATTTTTCAGGGATCAAACTTATCAATCTTTTCTAATGACTTCTGAGTTTTGTTCTTATTTAGAAACATTATTTTGAATAATCAAATTGTTTATTTTCTTCTAAGACTTTTAGAGTTTATATTTCATGTCTATTTCCATTTCATTGTGTGAGTTATCAGAATTTATTTTGTTCTAATGTGTGAGGTATAGATCTGTTTTTATTTATTCCAGAATTCTATCCACTTTTACCAGCCATAAAATTAAATAATCTATTTTTTCTCTACTAATTTGAAGGTCATGTTTATTGTATATAAATAGCCAATTATATTTGGATATATTTTTATATCAGTAGGTATTAAATAATGGCAACTTTGCGCCTTTGGGGACATTTGGCAGTCTCTGGAGATGTTTTTGATTGTCACAACTTGGGAGAGTTATTGTCATTTTTGGGTAAAGGCCATGGATGTTGTTAAATCCTACAATGTACCAGACAGCATCTGACAAAAAGAATTATCCATCCCTAAAGTGCTAAGACTTTACTAATGTTCTAGTTACTCACTACTGTTCTAGACTTTATATTCTGGTCCATTGATCTGTTTGTTTATATCATACAGTATAAACTATTACAGTTTTCTGATATAATATGTGTGATGATTAATACTGAGTGTCAACTTGATTGGACTGAAGGACACAAACTACTGATCCTGGGTGTGTTTGTGAGGGTGTTGCCGAAGGAAATTGACGTTTGAGTCAGTGGGCTGGGAAAGGCAGACCCACCCTTAATCTGGGTGGGCACCATCTAATCAGCTGTCAGCATGGCTAGAATATAAGCAGGCAGAAAAGTGTGAAATGAGAGACTGCCTAGCCTCCTGGCCTACATTTCTCTTGTGCTGGATGCTTCCTGCCCTTGAACATCAGACTCCGTTCTTTAGTTTTGGAACTTGGAATGCCTCTCCTTGATCCTCAGCCTGCAGATGGCCTATCGTGGGACCCTGTGATCATATGATTTAATACTTAATAAACTCCTATAATATATATAGGCTACATGTAATTATTTATTTGCCTTGTTTTGTAGGAAATAGAAAAGAATTTTGTGGGAAATAGAAAAAAATAGGAGTTTATTAAGTATATATATATAATAGAATATATATATATAAATAGAATGTGTATATATATATGTATGTGTGTGTGTGTGTGTGTATATATATATATATATATATATATATATATATATATATTCCATTAATTCTGTCCTCTAGAGAACCCTGACTAATACAACATCTAATAAGGCTATTCTCTCCTCAGTATGTATCTTTTTATTAAAAAAAAAATCCTGGTTTTTACTGATTGTTCACTTTACAAAAAAAAAAAGAAAAAAAAGAAAAAAAAAGTTTCCCTACCCCCCAAGCTACTAAGTAAATCTCAAAGCATTTTTGTTGACATGGTGTTAAATGTTAAACAATTTAGGGAGAATTGCTGTCTTTATATTTTAACACCTCTTATTTCAAATCATTATTTGCACTCAACGCCTTCTTTTGTATCCCTTTTGTCCTCTAAAATTTTCTTTGAGTCTTCCTGTGCTTGTTATATTTACTACCTTTTAACATTTATTTGAAATGGGAATTTACCTTCATGATATTTTTGTAGTGTTCTTTGTTTTAAACTAATTGGTTTTTATAAACTAATTTTCAGCTTAATTATTTTATCCTTTATAAATATTTTTGACTCTACAAAGTTTTGAAAAAATTTTGTTTTACAGTAAACAATTACAAAATCTCCAGAGAATAATTTCATATCCTTTCTAATTTTTATACCTCTTACTTTCCTTTATCTAATTGTATTGTCTTATAACTCACAGACAATACTATATAGTGGTGGTAGTAAAGAGTTTCCTTGTTTTGTTTCTGGCTTTAATGAGAATGCTGTTTTCCGATAAGCATAATATATCTCTAACTGTTGCTATTTTGTACAAAATAAATGTTAAATTCTAACAATTTTTATAAACTTTTTTGAGATTATTGTGATTTGTCATTCCTAGGGAAATTTGTTAATAGGTTACCCAATAATAAAACATTGTTTTATTCCTGGAAAACTGTAGCTGGTAATGATTTATTATACTTCTAATATGTTTCTAGAATCTGTTTATTAAGCTTTTAAAAAATGTTTTGTGGTAAAGTATGCATAATGATAAAAATATTAATGCATTTTAATGCAGTAATAAAATATTATTAACATTTTATCTTTTTATATTGTAACGTATGCATAACATAAAATGTATCATTTTAACCATTTTTAAATATTCAGTGATATTAGTTACATTTACATTTTTGAGTTATCCAATCAATTTTACTCTGCTACTCATAACTTTAATAGAATCTTTAAGTTGTGCATTGCTAATTATTTTTTCAAGCTATCTTCTTTGGAGTTTTATCTTTTATCTTCTTTCTTTCTTTTCTTCTTGTTAACTTTGATCCATCATTAAAGTATTCTCTTGAAACACTTTAAAATTCTTATGTTTTTACATTTAAACAACAGGAAAATTGGAAAAGAATGTCACAAATATAACGTGTTATTTGCCTAATGCTTTATCCTTTCCATGGCTCTTTCATGTTCTTTATCTTATGTGAATCTCAAGAGAGTACCCATAGGACATTCACAATGACTATCATAAACAGCAGTCCCTATTAGTACATATGATGTAACTGATTACAATGCAGATGTTCATATTTAGACAACGTGCAATAAAATAAATATTTATTGCTTAACTACTTCTTTGAAAACCAACTGTAAATTTATAAGCTTAACAACTTCAGGACTAGCATATCATAGTCATCAATGTAACACTACTATGGATGTTGCTAACTTTTCCAAAATTCTTTTCTATTGCCTACAAAATAAGGCAAATAAATAATTACATGTAGTCTTTGGATGAAAGTTTTTTGGAAATAATAAGAAATTTAGAATACAAACATTGTGTTCCTGCATAGCACTCTAGTTTTCATTCTAGAGTCACATTTTTAAATTTAAAAACCATCTGATGCCCCAGGTGGATTTACCTAATAGATAATCATGTGAATGTCAGTAAATTGAAATCACATTTAGAAATTTGGTGAACAATACTGAAGTAAAGTGAAAATATTTACTGACTCCTTCCTACTTATCCTTTAGATCTCAGCTTAAATGATTACTTTATCAGGGAAACCATTCATAGCTCTTCAGGCCAAGTTAGATCTCCATGTTAATATACACTAATTACATTCCACTTGTTACTTCTGCAACTGTTTCAATTGAAATGAAATAAGAATGTGTATTGTCATTTCTTTATATATGTTTCTCTTGCTAGACATGACCCTGGTTAATATATCATAGTATCAATATATTATTATATCTGTCACAATCCAATATAGAGTTAAATAAATGAGGTAGACATCAACTATACAGTTTTGGACTAAGGCATGTGAGACAAACCACACGGTTAGGGTTTTACCCTCAAAATATTCATGATTGGGTATCCACAGGGCACTTGCGTGAAGTAGAGTTGAAACCATTCAACAAATACTTATTACATATCTACTCTGAGTAAGCTCCAATCTGAGGATTGTGAAGCCTACACAAGCATCCAAATGGTAGAGAGTAATAAATTACAGATCTAATTACTAGATCAGAGTGACATAAAATTTTTCATAAAATTATTCTTTACCTTCTGAAGGAGCAGCAAAATGTGACTTGGAAAGAGCAGAGAGATATTTGTATGTGCACAGAGAAGACATAAGTTCTTTATGAGAGATGGCAAGGATATTGGTTTGGCTGGCTCAGTCTCAGTAGCAGGAAAAATGAAGAATGGAAGTGGTTGTCTTTGTTCCCTTAACAAAATGAATTATGTCTCACAATAATGAAGAAGGAGGTCTAAAGAATTTAAATAGAAACAAAGAAAACTTTATATAATTTTACATATATATTTTATATACATATATACATGCATGTATATATGCATGCATGTGTATATGCATACATATGTGTATGTGTATATACATGCACACATACATGTTTACATGTATATGTATGTACACATATGTGTATATATATTTTTGTATGTATGTGTGTATATTTGTGTGTGTGTGTGTGTGTATTTTACACCAGTCCCGGTATCTCTTGAGTGACACTGCATGGCATGCTGTGTTCTCCCTAGGGAACTGTGAGTAACAAAACTCTATAACTCTTTCAAGTTTATCTCTCTTGATCTGTGTTTGCCCTCACAATACCTCACACAAAGTAATGTGGCCAAACCACTGTTAACAGGGCATAAATATTCAATCAATTTCAGCAAAAGTATTTTCAGTTTCAGAATCGAATCGACTGAAACTCGCAGAGCATCTTATTTGTCAGCATGACCCTAATTGTCTGTGTTTAAACTGACAAAGGAAACTGAGACATTTACTTCTGTTATCTAAGAGAGTAAGCTGGAAAAGTTGAACCAGTTGAATGCCTGTGTCCAAGCCGGTTGTTAACTGAAAACATTCACAATGTCACCAACCTATAGGAGGAGGACACCCAACTCTAGAAAAATGAAAGAAAATATTCTTTTAATTGACAAGAACAATTAGGTTTTGACACCTTAAAAATAAATCAAGACAACAGCTAAATTTTATTATAAGCTTTTTCCTGTAAAATATGAAAGTATATCAAAATAAGAAAGCCTATTGTAAATGTAATGAAATAATTTTACAGTTTTATACAACTAACTGAATGTTAAGTTTTAATTCACTTAAGAGCTATTTTTCATGTCTTGTTTTAATGGATCATTTTCTGGGACTTATTTTTAAAGAGACTTGAGATGAAGGAAAAAATAAAAGGGACAGGATATGCCTTTCGCCAGGAGTACTCAATGAACTTATTCTGTAGCAGCTGTGTTTCTTAGGCATCTGTATGAGTCCAGGAAAGTTTCAGGTTTGAAATAATAATACTATGAATCACTATTAGATGTATTTATCAAACTGTGTTTTTAACCTAGCTCTAAAATTCTCCGGAGAAAAAGCAGTAATAAAATAATTTATAATTTTGACTTATGTCCTACTCATAGCCTGGGGCATCAGATGTTTTTGATTCCTTTCTCTATTCGATAAATTATAGCTTGATTTATCTAAACATCTTTTTGTCAAGTTCTGTTAGCTACTTTTTGCTTCTATGGAAATATTAGATCTACTTTCCTAGGGAAAAAACAAAGCAGAAGACCTCTGGATTAGTGTGTGGTTGAACATCAAGGATCTGACCTAATTTGAATTCTAGATCTTAGATTTACTAGTTGTGCAAGCTTGAGATGATCACTTAAAATCTCTGAGCATCTATTTCATATCTTTAAAATATCAACAATGATAGCTTTCTTTTAGAGTTCTCAGAATTTAAAGAGCTAATGCATATGAATACTCTATATAAAACCTTCTACACAGAAGGTGCTAAATAGTTTGCAAACGGGGGTATAATTTACATAGGCTGTATATCTGTACATATTAATATAAATTTAAGCCAACAAAAGAAGAATTTGCTTTCCTGATTTATCAATGTCTTGCCTTCATTGTTATCTTTGGCCTGATTATAATAAACACTGAACTTATATTTCATGATACATTTAACACTCGAGTGCTTTCCTAAGTATTTTACACAGAAATGATTGTTTTTATTTTAACAAAATTTAAAAGCTACCATGGATTGAACATATAATACCTACCAATCATCATACTAAGCATTTTGTTTTAGTCTGAAAATCTTCCTGTGGGTTTGGTGTTTATTTGTAGATTCTTTCTCTCTTGTTTTCTCTCTCTTCCTTCCTACCTTTGTTCCTTCCTTCTGTTCTTATTCCCTATCCCCTTTTATATAGTCTATGTAGAGTTTATACAGAGAGAACACCTAGCTCTCCTTGTGCACAAGTTTGAACTTGGTCAACATGTATTAATAGTTGCTTAATTTGGCAATCTATGATTGTTAAAGCACATTATTAATAGTTTTTTTAAAAACCAAACATGTTAATATTGCAAATACTAAACTTCACCATTTAGGACACCTTCAAAGGAGAACTATACATGTTCCATGAAATTGCTGCCTAGGAAACAAATGATTTCCTCTTATTTTTAGCATAGAACTGTAGGTATATGGAAGCTCTGAATCGGCCCACACACTGCATGAACACTGATATTTATGAAACCAACATGACAGTAGGGGGACTTCTACCTAGTGGTCATCAGAGATGAAATGTATAAATTTTGTGTAAGAATTATCTGACAGATTATATGGATAGGGACTTTCCTCTAAATTACTGAGAGAAGATGGAAAGACAGGTCATACGACTAGATCCTCAGAATAAGGTGACCAAGTAGATTTCTACAAGTATTTTGTTCCTTTTTCAGATAAGAAGTATGAGTGCAAGGACTAAAAAGGGAGATTTAGTCCACTCAAAGAAACTACCAAATATGTATAAGTAAGCAGCACTGAAATATTGCCACAAAATGTCTAGACTCTGCTGAAGGAATAGGTCATACTGTGAATAAAGGTGCAGTTCAGTTTATCAACCTAGGCCAAAGAATAATCTGTGCCCTGTCAGGACAAATAAGATGCAGGTACAATTATCTGAAACAATCTAATACCAACACCTTGGAAGTATAATCAAGGTATTCTGTGTCCTCCTTTATGGTTTAACCATTTAAGTGCACTATGGTTAGTACATTTTTCATGTTTAAACTGCTTAGTTAAGTTGCATATAAATTATTTCTCCTCCAAGTTCTCAGCATACATATCCAAAAGTTTAGCTTCAAGGTCATACTTTTCTCAGAGAACAATAACTTAAAAATAGTGCCACTGGTTTCTTGAAGAACTTCCAATATTTGAAGTATTAATATAAACAGATATTTATTAAAATTATTGCTTCTTAATGTGTTATGCTTCCCAATGTGTTACGTTATTTATTAAAATTATAGCTTCCCAGTAAGGTGGCAGAACCCTTCAAGGAAGCTTATGTTAAATACATAATTATTTTGATTACCTTGGGTTCTTAAGACATTTCTTTTCAGTTTAAAACATAGTTTTCTTATCAGAATCCTCATTCTTTCCATTCTATTCAGAAAAGACTTGAAATTTGAAGAATAGTAGAGGACAAAGATGGTTGATCTACTGTTTGAACATTTTTCCCTGATTTAGCACCTGGAACAGAAGTAGATGACTTTGCCTTTAAACGTCCTTCATGTTTTCTCTCTATCCTAGTTTCTCGTTACTTTACCACTGAGGCAAAGAAGAAGAATTGAGAGAAAAATAATCCTCTTTTGTGGCTGCTGATATGGTAGTATAGAGAAGGTACCCCTGACCTTACCCAATCTGATGCTCAGATGCTCCAGGGGTATGTTGGATTCTGTATTATTGATGAGCCTAGTTTTCTGATGGTATCCAGATTCATTTAGTTATCTCTCTTCAAGAACCACTCATACAATACAGCCAAGCTCCTCAACAATGTCACCAAAGATATATGCTGTCAACCACTTCTCTGGGTTGGGCAATTTATTGCTTGACCAGTCAGCTGGCTAGGATGCTTCCTAAATTACATCTCCCAGCTAACTTTTATTAACTTTATGTGGAGCTATTGGAACACTGGAGCCTGCTTCTGCACTTCCAAGATCATCAGA